>NC_000002.12:192944163-193247193 GCF_000001405.40 Homo sapiens | reverse complement strand
TGTTTTGTTCTAATCATTGTTTTTGAGAGCCAAAGATTTTTGGCAAAGGTAGTGAAAAAATAGTACCTTTCTAATATTGAGTTTCTCTGGGTTATTTTCTTATCTTGTCTCACTTTTCATTAATGGAATTTGGCATATTAGGTATATTTTGTTTGGATTGATATAAATAAATCCTTAAAATAATTTTCATAAAAGAATGACAAAACAAATAATTAAGAATGATTCTAATAATTATAATAAATAGTTACTAATTGATTTCAATTTTGGCTGTATACATCCGTGAATGTTTCACAATAGTGCTAGATTTTATAATAAGCAGGTAAGAATCATTTCAAAGCAAAACTGAAGAAATATTACATGGAAATAGTCTTTAATTCTGGGACTGTCAAGAGAATTCATTCTGACTCTAACATAATTTACAAGCAATTCCATATTTGCAAAATTTAAAGTATAAACTAATAACATTAGTAGTCAACTCTAAGGTATTATTGGAAAGAATAATTATCCTGCTCCAGAAAACTCCTCTTGAAAAAAGGTTGAAAGCATGAGTCAAGGTATTTCTAGGTAAATGTATCAAATATTAGATACAAAACATTGGATTGTTTTCAAAGATAAATATCCCAAGCATGGATCCTCTATTTTTCAGTATATGAAGTTTCACGCCCCCATCAAAGAAAATAACTATAATTACAATTATAGTTATTCATTATGGGTTGAATTGTTCCCTGCCCCACAAAAATATTTTGGAATCTTAACCTCTTCAAACCCACCCCCGCCGCCACTGTTTTTATTTTCAGAATGTGACCTTATTTGGAGATAGGATATTTATAGAAGTAATAAAGTTAGATGAGGTCATCACAGTGGGCTTCAATCCAGTATTATGGGTATTTTACACAAGGGGAAAATATAGACACAGAGATAGAAAGAAAGAGAAGGAAGATAATGAGAAGACACATAGGAGAATATGGCCATCTTCAAAGTCAAGAAGAAAGGGCTAGAAACAAATCTTTCCCTCAAAATTCCTCAGAATAAAACAAATCTGCCAATACCTTGATGTCAGATACATACCTTGATGTCAGACATACACCTTGATGTCACACATTTAACCTCCAGAACTGTTGGAGGATACTTTTTTGTTGTTTAAGCCACTCATTTTGTGATATTTTGCTAAGGCAGTTCTAGCAAAACAATACAGTAAAGAGGGTGAAGGATATGAACAGACACTTCTCAAAAGAAGATATTTATGCAGCCAATAAACATATGAAAAAAAGCTCATCATCACTGGTCATTAGAGAAATGCAAATCAAAACTGCAATGAGATAACATCTCATGCCGGTTAGAATGGCCATCATTAAAAAGTCAGGAAACAACAGATGCTGGAGAGGATGTGGAGAAATAGGAACGCTTTTACACTGTTGGTGGGAGTGTAAATTAGTTCAACCATTGTGGAAGAAGTGTGGCGATTCCTCAAGGATCTAGAACTGGAAATACCATTTGACCCAGCAATCCCATTACTGTGTATATACCCAAAGGATTATAAATTATTCTACTATAAAGACACATGCACATGTATGTTTATTGCAGCACTGTTCACAATAACAAAGACTTGGAACCTGCCCAAATGCCCATCAATGATAGACTGGGTAAAGAAAATGTGGCAAATATACATCATGGAATACTATGCAGCCATAAAAAAAGATGAGTTCATGTCCTTCGCAGGAACATGGATGAAGCTGGAAACCATAATCCTCAGCAAACTAACACAAGAACAGAAAACAAAACACCACATGTTCTCACTCATAAGTGGGACTTGAACAATGAGAGCACATGGACATGGAGGGGGTGGGACATCACACACTGGGGCCTGTTGGGGGGTGGGGGCCTGGGGGAGGTATAGCATTAGGAGAAATACCTAATGTAGATGACGGGTTGATGGGTGCAGCAAACCAACATGGCACGTGTATCCCTATGTAACAAACCTGCACGTTCTGCACATGTACCCCAGAACTTAAAATATAATAAAAAAATTAAAAAAAAGAATAACCTAGAATTATCAGGTCTGACAGTAACTAAATTCAATCACAAAAATGCTTATCTTTCAGATTAAGACAAACAAGTAAAAATAGTATCGTATATTAATAGAAGCCAATTTATACTATTGGTTTTTATAAAATTTCTCCATATGTTTGGGTTATTGTATTCAAAAAAAGCAATCTTCAAATCTTCCTATTCAAATAGGCAGAAAAATTAGGTTAGATTATCTAGGAGTGTTGATCATTTGATTTTTATTTAGCAATTTTTATTTCCTTAAGATTTTTCCATTCATTATCTACATAATATTTTAATGTTGTATCAAAATAGCAATCTACCTTAATTTTAAATATTTCCATATTGATAGCTATAACCCATATCTTGCTTCCAAATTTATATCTCATGCATTCTTAAATAACTTGTCATGGAGAGTGCATATATGTGGTATGTGTGTGTGTGTGCTTGTGTGTGTGTGCTTGTGTGTGTGTTTTAAGAAATGTCTCTAACGTGCTCATTTTGTAATTTTCTGGATTTAGCCAAATTATATAACCTCTTTGCCTCAGTTCCTTAATCTGTAAGACAGGATTATTTATAGTAGCTACTTCATAGAAACATTGTTAGGATTAAATAATTTGACATATGGAAAGAAACTAGCAGAATCCAATAGTACATATTAAATATCATATAAAAATTATTATAATCATCACTCATATATCCTCTCATTTTTATCTATCTACTCATTTTTTATTCATTAATTATTCAATTAATAAATATTTATTGAGCATTAGTTTGCCAGGCACATAAATAAATAATACAAACACCAAATCTATGCCTCTCCTTATCTTTAAAAAAAATACGTGATATAAAGTGTGTCCTTTCTTTTGTAATTTTTATATTCTATTTTAGTTTTAAATGTGTGTTCCTTTTTATAGTTCTGAAAGCCAGTCTCCTTATTCTTGTCTTCATAATGAATAATTCTATTATGTATAAAATATTTATCTCATTTTTATTAATTATATTCATTTTTTGTTTAGTGGGCATATATTTTTAAATTTATGCAATGATATTGTACCATATATCATATTATGTTTCTTACCTTTTCACTAAATATTATGTTTTTGTGAGCATTCAGGTTTCTATATTATCTACTATATGTATCATATATATATATATGTATAGATTTTACCTTTTCAAATATTTCTTTGGGATAGATTGGCAAGCAGAATTTCATAAAGAAGGCAAGCAGATAATTTAATTAAATAGCATTTGTTGTTTGCCTGAGTTCCTGTGGCAGTTTACACTCCCACTAATTGTGCACAAGGATTTTTATCTTCCCAAAATTTTGGCAACACTTGCTGTGATTCATCTTCTAAATTTTTGTCAAGCTAATAGTTGTAAAGTGGTATCTCATATTTGTATTGATATGCATTGCCCTGAATACTAATGAATTCGAATTTGAATGTTTTCAAATGCTTTTGCCCCTTTAGGTTTTTTTCTTTCTTTCTTTCTTTCTTTTTATTTTTTTTAATACTTTTGTTGTTGTTGTTTGTTTGTTTTTGAGATGGAGCCTTACTTTGTCTCCCAGGCTGGAGTGCAGTGGCACAATCTCGGCTCACTGCAACCTTCACATCCCGGGTTCAAGCGATTCTCCTGCCTCAGCCTCCCGAGTAGCTGGGATTACAGGTGTGCACCACCATGGCTGGCTAATTTTTGTATTTTTAGTAGAGACGTGGTTTCACCATGTTGGCCAGGCTGGTCACGAACTCCTGACCTCGTGTGATTCGTCTCCCTCGGCCTCCCAAAGCGCTGGGATTGCAGGCAAGCCACCAAGCCTGGCCTATCATAGTATTTTCATTCATACATTTTCTATTCTTTCTTATTAGGTTTATTATAGGTGCTTTGTTATGGTATTCATAGGGATACCATAACAAAGCACCACAGAAAAAGTGACTTAACTCAGAAAATTAGTTTTCTCACAAATTTGGAGGTTAGAAGTTCTTGATCAAGGTGTTGGCAGAGTTTGTATCCTCAGAGGCCTCTTTCTTTTGCTTGCAGATAAGTGCTTTCTCTGTGTTTCACGTGGTCTTCCCTTTGTATAAGTCTGTGTACTCATTTTCTCTTCTCATAGGGACTGTAGTTATATTTGATTGTGAATTCATTTTAACTTCATTACCTCTTCAAAGACTGTATGTCCAAATATAGTCACTTTCTAAGTTACTGGGGGTTAGGACTTCAAAATAGAATATTTAAGGGACACAGCTCAACCTATAGCTTAAAGTACTGTAAAAATTACTGAAAAGGTTTGGAGGCATGGATAACCTGGATAACCTTTAGCTAGTCTGTTTTGTAAGTATAGACATAATCACTACATCTTCCCACTGTGTCATTAATTTCTTCTCATAGCTTCACTTATGACTAAATGAATCATAAATCAGGCAGGAGAAGAGATACAAAATATTCTGATATTGATTAACAGCTTCTGCAAATTTCCATTTAAGTGATTATCTTCCATCTCTGAAACAGTACTTATTGTATTTTAATTTAAAGCAAATTCAAGGTGAAGCCATATGCCTTACATTTTCTTTTTAAGGTTGGAAGTTACATATAACGGATTTCATTAAATATAAAATTGTGGCTCTTGCCATAATATAATCAAATAAGCAAGATTTCTCTTTAATTTTAGCACAGTAAGGAATATCTACTGGATGGATGGAAAACAAATTCTGCCTTGTAGTGCAACTTTGGTGATAAAAAAAAGTTGATTGAAAACATGATTACTATTCAATGCCTAAGGTATGTAAAATTTGAAGTACAGTTATTTTCTAATTTTGTGAGTTTTCAACCATGTAACTTATAATTGGATTTAAAAAAAGAAAGGAAAGTCCTCTTTGTCTTCTTTCTGGATTTTGTTTGTTTATTTTCTAGGGCAGCTTCTAATATATAGAAGAAATTTCTGCCTTAGCCAAGAAAAATTACCACATGTCAGTTCTAATTGCCCTATCCATATTTCTAAGCGGTACATAGAAATGTGGTACATTAAATACTTAAGTTTGCCAATGTCATCTTGTGGAACTAGAGTCCTTCTATTTGTCTGCTGGTATTTAAAAGGACAGGACATTTAAGGAAAAAGTAGCATAATAACTCTCCTTAATTAAATATTTTCTAGTTAGCAAGAATTGTGATCAAAATATTTGATCAACTTATCACTTAAAATTTAATCCTTTCAGCGATTCTATGTGATAGATAATATTACTCCTATTTTAAAATTAGGAAATGCAGGAGTAAATAGATCGAGCCACTTATCCCAGAAATATATATATATATATATATATACACAAACACACATAATATATATAATACATGTATATATTTTTGCATATGTATATTTATATGTGCATATGTATATGCGCATATGTATATTTGCATATGTGTGCATGTATATATGTGTGTATATATATATATATACACATGCACACATATATGAGAAAAAAACACAAGTCAGTATTTTAGCTAAGATTAAAAACTCAATTAGTACAATTAGTCCAAACCCAGTATGAAAAAGCTTCTGCTTGTAGGTCTGACATAAAAATACCTTGGAAGTTTCCACACTTGAATTTAAAAGAAGAAATTCTTTAAAGAATTTACTTTTCTCAGTAAATTCTGAGAATCAATTACTTTTCTCAGACTTATCAGAGAACTGAGGTTGGAGGACACACTGCCATACTAAAATCTGAAGAGACAGGTACTTCCAGAGAGATATTGCAACTCAAATCTGTTTACTTGGGGCAGAAGCCACTGAAGCCATAAAATGGTAGGAAAACAAGTTGTAATTCTGATGAACTTCTCAAACTGAGTATGGACGAACATAAGAGTGAGAAACTCCAGAAGCTACAGTTTGCCAATGTAGGCTGTTCCTTAATTGGTTTTACTTCTAGGTATCTCATCATATTCTCAAAATGTGAATCTGAGAAATAACTCCCATGGTCCCAGGGGAGGGAGGAGAAGAGTAACCATTATGAAACATGACCAAAACCTCCTCTACTAACACACAAACAAAACAAACACACAAAAAACTATTTAATAGAGGTTAACACTTCACTGAAGCCAACTCTGAAATTTTATCCCAGCTGGATGAAGAGAATTCTTCACACTGCAGCACCTGCTATTCTTCCTGTTTCACTATAAAACATAGCCAATAGGGGGCAGAGTTTTAAACAAATATATTGAGAATTTTTAGCCAGAGACAGGAGTATGGAGCAAGGGAGAAAAAAAGCTATACCTGTGGAGGACAGGCAGAAACATCTATGGAAGGCCAAATATTCCCAACAGGCTCCCTATAAAATGAGAGTTAATCAGATTATAAAACACTCCTACCTTAAAATGAGAGTTAATCGGATTATAAAACACTCCTACCTAACACTCTCATATCCTAATACTGTACTAACAAGACTCCAGCTTTAAAAAATAAGTGTTTAAAACTGAAAAAAATAAAACATAAAAAGTCTGTCTTCAATGAGAACACATAGCGAATTCCCAATACCAAGAGGGGCCGCTAAAGGAATTTGAATTCCTATTTTCTGTAGCTACAATAGACATCATTAAACATGGCTTGACTCCTAGCCAAATTATCATGAACCCTCCCATTCAAGTCTTATTTGCTTCAATTTCTATTCCTCAATACAACATGTCTTGCCTTCAATTAAAATTTACAAAGTATGTCAAAGGCAAAAGAAGACACAATCTGAAGAGACAAATAAATTTTCAGGACTAGATTCAAATACAACACAGATGTTAGAACTATTGACGGTGAATTCAAGATAACTATACCTATTAGGTTAATATGTTAAGTACTCCAATGGTAAAGTAGATGCCATGCAATAAAAGATGGGTTATGTAAGCCAAGACAAAAGCCCTGAAAATAAAAAGAAAATGGTATAAATAAGAAACACCAAAAGAGAAATAAAGAAAGTCTTCTAAGCTTTCATCAATAGGCTCCACATGTTGAAATAAATAATCAGTGAAATTGAGGAGCTTCACAAACTGAAATATACAAAGGATAAAAAAGAATTAACGAAACAGAAGCAAATGTCCATTAATTAATTAAAACATTGTAAAGTGTAACATACTAGAATAAGAAGAAAGTTCAAAATAAGTATTCTTGAGTTATACTGATATAAAAAAATGATTGAACAGATCAATGAGGGACAATAGACACTTCTTTCAAGAAGAATAATTACAAATGTTTTATGTAGTTGCTTCCCATCCAAGAAGGTGGAGTATAAGTCCCTGACCTTTAAATTTGAGCTGTGCAGAATGACTTCTTTACAGAGTATGGTAGTCCAAGGCTGGTGGGGTGAGGAGAATAATATTTTGCAGTGGAGAAAACTGACAAACAGTGCCTTATTCAGGTGATCAAGGTATCTACTGTTGATGTGATATGATGAAAGCAAAACTTTTCTTTGTTATTTTCCTCCCCAAAACATATAACCCCTGTCCAACCCTGAGGAAAACATTAGACAATTGAAATTATAAAACAGTTTATAAAATACCTGATAAGTACTCCTCAAAACCATCAAGATCATCCAGAATAAATAAAGTCTGAGAAACTGTTACAGTCTAGAGGGGCCGAGGGAGACATGACAACTAAATGTAATGCACTATACTGGATGGGGTCATGGAATGCAGAAAGGAAATACAAACAAAGAATAGACTTTAGTTAGTAAAATTATATCAATATTAGTTCATAGTTTGGACAAATGTACCACAGTAATAGTGTAAGACATTAATAATCAGGGAAACATAGTGTGAGGTATGTGGAAATAGTATTCTCATAAATTTCCTGTAAACTTAAAAGTATTTTAAATAAATATATGATATATTATATATATGTGTCTTTATATATGTATAGCCAAACTATGCTCTCTTACTCTAAAATCATTAACAGTGACACACATGAGCACACACACACACACACGTATGGCATGCACCTAAAATCATTCAGGTATCTTAATCACATAGAAGACACATAAAAATGAGTAGTCTACACATTTTTCCTGTCATTTAATTAAATATGGGCCAAAACATGTAATATTGATACAATTCCAGAAAAAGTCTGTATGGTTATCTATCATTAAAAATTGGGCTTCAGGTACCATACAATCATTCTGTTTTTTGCTTTTAGTACATAATTCAATAAATTACATGAGATATTCAACACTTTATTTTGAAATAATCTTTGTGTTAGATGATTTTGTTTAACTCTAGGCTGGTATAATTATTTTGCACACATTTAAGATAGACTAGGCTAAGCTAGGATGTTTGGTACATTAGCTGTATTAAATGCATTTTGACTTACAATATTTTCAACTTACAATGGATTTATCAGGATGTAACCCGAGAATCATCTGTAATTTGTTATTAAAGTGGCATGAACTTTAATATTGCTATGGATTTTAAGATAATTTAGTGTCAAAACTTCTATTTACTGGTTTAAAAAATTCTGCGAAGATAATTAATATTTCAAATCATGGTTTTTACCCAAAGATTAGAAAATGTTTTGATGTTTGTTTAAGCTATTTTCAAGTTTTATAGACTCTTTATTTGACAATTCATGTTTCCACTATTTTGAAATCTATTTTATGGTAATTTTAGTGTCCATATTAAGGGTCATTTAGTTTTACGAAGCCAATAAAAAAGTGAAAGAAGAGTTGTCAACAAAATTTACTATTCCATATGCCATATATATATGTAGATATTTAAAATAAAGAACTATGATAAGTAGATGCACACACACATGCATACACACAAAGAAAGAAGAAAGTCCAGAAATAGAAACACATAAGAAATAAGACGTATATTCGATTATTTTATATGTTGTGTTTCATAACACTTAATATTACATTATAATATCAAGAAGGAAGAACTACATGTCTCATTCCTGGAATGTATTCATTACTGAAATACAAATTGGAAAATAAATTAAAAAATAATTTAGTCTGATAACACTATAAGTTCATTGTTATGTGTTGATTATACTTAACACAGAAGCAATCTTATTTAAGTTATAGGGATGCTATTGTCACTAGAGTAAATTTAATTCACATAGAATTTGATTCACTATAGGTTGGTTAGATTACAACATTTTGAGTGTTTACTACTAACAAATAAAGCAGATGTTTGACAAATAATCACACTTTTTCTGTCTTTTTAAATTTAATTTTTCAAATTGATAAATAATAATTGCACATATTCATGAGGTATGTAGTGGTACTTTGTTATATGTAATGTGTAAGAATCAGATTCAGATAATTAGCATAGCCATAAACTCAAACCATTATCATTTCTTTGTGTGGTTCGTTTTTAGTGAATTAAAAGAAGAAAATACTCTCTGAGATAAAAATGTAAAGATGTTTTTATTTAGTCATATGTAATATGAAATTGTGATATTTTCTGTAGGCTTTGCTTTGAGGAAATTTATCATTTCCTTTTAAAGTTCGTATTGGCCATTATTATTATTGTCATTGTTAGAGTTGCATAATGGTGTAATTGTTATAGGAAACCATTAATACTCACTCACTGTTTTCATCATGCAATGACAAGAGGATTTAGAAATATGAATATGAGTGTGGTCTCATAAGTGTCTGCATAAAAGAAATTAAGGGCACATGAAATGATAGTCTTTTTTCTGGATATTATATCCATTTTCATAATGTTTCATTCTTACCTATTTTATTGAATGTTTCATAATGTGACATCATTCATCCTTTTTATTGCATCCTGTGCTGTCATAGTATATATACCATATAGTAGGTATGCTTAATAATTTGTAACAACTGTGTCCATTGGGAATTGCAATGACTATAGAATTAGATGGACCTCTAGTCGAATCCTGTGATAATATGACTTTTGCATATTGTCTCATCTCCTTGAGCTCCAATTTTCTCTTTCGTAATACAGGGAAAACGAGATTTCAAGAATTCCTTGGAGGATAAAGAAAATAGCATTTATTAAAACACCAAGTGCATTACATATGTAATACATGTACAGTTTCATAGGTGTTTAGTAAACGATAATAATTGCATTATTGTTAAAAATGTACATGACTTTTCATCTCTTACAGGATTGCAAGTTTTTGAAGAACAGTAATCATGATTCCCTTTAGAATCTGCCCCAGAAGTTGCCAATCTAATTTGGTTTTTATTTTAAATTCAATGAATGTTATAGAACTAAAAGTTATTTTATATTCTAGCAATCTAATAATCTAATCTAGTTCAGAGAACTACCCAATATTTATAATTTTTATTTAAATAAAAGTCTACCTTAGTATGTATTGCTTTCCACAACATTGAGGATTATACTTTCATATAATGAGCACAATAGTTTCTATGTATATTTTATTTGTACTTTGAAAATTGACATTTTGATACTTTCATAATAAAAGTAAACTTTGAAAACTCTATTTCTTCAGAACGCATTTCATTGACAAGATATAAGTCTCTAATAATAAATGGTTAAGCAAGAGAGGAATAATTGCATTATTAAAATTACATACAATTTAAATGTTGCAAACCTCTGGCTTATCAGAGTCAAAAGATTATTTAATTGAATAATTCTGGATTAATCAGAAAAAGTCAACTTTCTCTGTTAGGCTAATATTTTCTGCAATCATTTTACTATATAATTTTTGAAATTAGTAATTACTTGTTTTTTCTATTGAGAAATGCCAATATTAAATACTGGTTTTTTGTAATGTAGTGTTTAGAATATAATTTCAAATAACACAATCTTTATTGGAATAAATTTAGTGCATTTTTTCTACAAAATCTCAATCAGAATTTTATATGCTTAAGACATCAGTCAAACAAAATTATAGTTAAACACATTTCTCTGCCTTGCTGTTTTATTGATTATAGCCATTTTAGTTATTAATCTGTATTCTCATTTCCCCAATATGTCACTTGAAAAAAATAGTTGTCTGATAAATTGTAGTCATCAGATTATTTCTCATATTCTTCTTTTATTTTACATTGTAATTTCAAGTAGATGCTTTATTAACAATACATAAAGCAGGATAATGGTAAACATGTTCTTGCACGGTGCATGTAGTTACTTTATGAAAAAATTTGAACGATTCATTTAGTGTTTCAAATGTCACAAATAAAATGTGTTCTGGTGTTTTAGTTTTTATAACTCTACAAATATTTTTGCTGTGTACTATTTAAGACAGTGCTGTTTACAAATCTTTTGAATTTCAAATCTCTATGCCAAATACAGGGTCCATAAATTCTACATGATAAGATTGGAGGCTTCTCAGACAACTAGAACATAGTATCTAACTGGGCTTCTGTGGGGTTTCCTCTCCTTTTCTAATATTTATATCAACATATTATGTCAGTAATATTAGCTGAAAACTAAAGATTCAAATATTAATATTATCCATATTGTAGTTGTTTATTTCCTAGAAAGGAATGTAAATTAGTCATTTTATGGTAATAATTTTAAATCTTTTTAATGGCAGGCACCAGCTAATTGACTATTATAGAATCTGCTAAAAAACAATCTTGGGATCAGGTTGTTGTGCCAAATGTTATAATAAAATCAGGTATTTCCTTCACGACCGAACTCCGAAGTAAATAATAAACAAAGGGCTATATCTCAGGACTGGTTTTTATAGTCTAAAACACTAAAGCAGTTTTCTGTTTAATGCAGTTTCTGTTCACTGCAGTGCTGATATTCAGTTTGAAAGAACAAGATAGGATTAAATAAAAACACTCATCAGTCCTAGTTGAGGTTCAGAGTTTTCTAAAATTTAAAAAGGGCTTGACTTCATAACAGATGAATCCTAAGAAAGTAGAGATGAAACAGATAAGGTTGCTCTGCCCATGTGGCCATATTCAAGCTATGCTCAGTTATTTAAATGTCATATAGCTCTAAAACTCAGATTTCTATTTTTGATAAAGTCTGATTTTACATAAATTTTACTTCCATTTAGATATTCTTAGTATGAAGAGCCCCAAGTGTAAGCCATGTTCTTTCCTTTTTAGTAAACTTTTTAAAAGGCATTTGTTGCTATAATTTATTTTTTAACTTTTGTTAGGTATGATTAAGATATTAAAAAGCTGTACATATTTAATACCTACATCTTGATGAGTTTGAGGATAAATACATACTTGTGAAACTATCACTTCTATCAATGCCATAAATATATCCATCACTTCCCAACATTTCCTCCCATCTCCTTCATTATTATTATTTTGTTATTTTCTTCTGTGGAAGAACATTTAGCATAAGATTTATCTTTAGAAAAATTTAAGTATATGTTAGTTCTAGGCATTATATTGTATATTATATCTTCAGAAATTATTTATCTTGAGTAACCGAAATTTTGTACACTTTTACAATCATCTTCCTATTTCCTCCTCTTCCCTATCCCCAGCAACCACCATTTTATTCTCCATTTCTATGAGTTTGACTATTTTAGATTCCACTTGTAAGTGAGATCATACAATATCTGTTTTACTGTGACTAGATTATTTCACTTAGCATAATGGCCTCCAGGTCCATCCATGTTGCAAGAGGTAGAATTGCCTTTTTTTTTTTTTTTTTTTTTAATTTTTGAGACGGAGTCTCACTCTGTCACCAGGCTGGAGTGCAGTGGCATGATCTTGGCTCACTGTAACTACTGCTTCCTGGGTTCAAGCGATTCTCCTCCCTTAGCCTCCTGAGTGGCTGAGACTACAGGCATGTGCAACACACACAGCTAATTTTTGTATTTTTAATAGAGATGGGGTTTTGCCATGTTGACCAGGATGGTCTCGATCTCTTGACCTTGTGATCCTCCCTCCTCGGCCTCTCAAAGTGCTAGGATCACAGGTATGAGCCACCGTGCCCGGCCTGAATTGCCTTCTGGGTGGAATCATATTCCATTGCATATATAAGTTTGCATACACATATGTATGCGTGTGTGTATATGTATGTGCGGGTGTGTATCTAATTTTCTTTATCCATTCATTAGTCAATAGGCATTTAGTTTGCTTCAACATATTGGCTATTGTGTAGAATTTTGCAATAAATATGGGAGTACAAATATATCTTTGAGATTCTGATTTCAATGTCTGATTTCAGTATACCCAGAAGTGAGATTTCTGGATCATATGGTAGTTTTTTTAAATTTTTTGTAATTTCTACTCTGTTTTCTATAACTGCTGTAGCAATTTACATTTCCAACAACAGTGTATAAGGTTTTCCTTTTCTTTATATCCTCACTAACATTTATCATCTTTTTATAACAGCCATCCTAATAGGTATGACGTGATAATTCTTTGTGGTTTTGATTTGTATTTCTCCAATGATTAGTGGTGTGGAGCACCTTTTCATATACCTGTTGGCCATTTGTATTTCTGTTAAGAAATGTCTATTCAATTCCTTTGCTCATTTAAAAAATCATGGGTTTTTTTGTTTATTTTGTTTTGTTTTCGTCACTGAGTTTTGTGTGCTTCTTACATAATTTGAATATTAACCTTAATTAGGTATATAGTTTGCAAATATTTCACCCCATTCGGTAGGTTACCTTTTCATTTCGTTGACTATTTCCATGGCTGTGCAGAAGCTTTCTTGTTTGATGTAATATAATTCATCTGTATTTGCTTTAATTGCCTGTGCTTTTGGTGTCATGTCCAAATAAAATCATTGCCAAGATCAATGTTAAGGAGCTTAACTACGATGTTTTCTCCTAAGAGTTTTACAGCTTTGGGCCTCATATTTAAGTCATTAATCCTTTTTGAGTTGATTTTTATATGGAGTAAGATAAGGGTCCACTTTTATTATTTTGCATGTGACTATCCAGCTTTTATAACACCATTTATTGAAGAGGCTTTTACCCATTGTGTACTTTTGGAACTCTTGTTGAAAATTATTTGGCCATATTTATGTGAGACTATTTCTGGGCTCTCCACTTTGTTCCATTAGTCTGTTTGTCTGTTTTTAAACTAACATCATACATTTGTATTGGTATCCCTTTGGGATTTAATTTGAAGTCAGTAAGTTTGATACTTCAAAGTTTTTTCTTACTCAATATTGCTTCGACTATTAAGGGTCTTTGTGGATTCATGTGCATTTTAGGATCTATTCTATTCTATCCTATTCATCACATTGAGGTATATTCCTTCTATACCAATGTTTTGAGTGTTTTTATTAAGAAAAGATGTTGAATATTGTCAAATACTGTATATTTGTTAAAATAATCACATCATTTATGTCTTTCATTGTGCTCTTGTGGCATATCCCATTTATTAATTTGTGTTTGTTGAACCATCCTGGTATCCCAAGAATAAATTCCACTTGATCATGGAAAATGATCCTTTTAATGTACTATTGAATTTTATCTGCCAATATTTGTTGAGGATTTTTACATCTATGTTCATGAAAGATTGTGGTCTGTGATTTTTCTTTTCTTGTAGTGTCCTTATCTGGCTTAGGTATCAAGGTAATTCTGGCTTCATAAAATAAGTTTGAAAGTGTTCCATTCCACTTAATATTTTGAAGTGTTTGAGAAACATTTATTTGTTAAATGTTTTGTAGAATTTGCCAGTGAAGCCATCTGGCCCTGGCCTTATTTTTGGGGGAGGTTTTTGATTTTGGATTCAATGTTCGTACTCTTTATTGTTCTGTTCAGATGGTACTTCTTCGTGGTTCAATCTCAGTAGGTTGTATGTTTTTAGGAATTTATTCATTTATTCTAGGTTATCTAATTTGTTGGTCTAAAATTGTTTATAATGTTGTCTGATAATCCTTCGTATTTCTGTGGTATCAGCTGCAATGTTTCCTCTTTCTTTTATACATGTATTTATTTGAGTCTGTGTTCTTATTTCTTGGTCAATATTTTCTCAAAAAGCTAACTTAGCTTTGTTGGTCTTTTCTATTGCTTTTTTCTACTCTATATTTCATATATTCTCCTTTAATATTTATTATTTTCATTATTTTGCTAACTTTGTGCTTGGTTCATTCTCTCTTTGTTTTTAGTTACTTGGAGTGTAAAGTTAGGTTGTTTCTTTGAGATCTTTCCTTTTCTTAATGTAGGTTTCTTAAGCCAACCTTATATTTATAAACTGCTTATTTTAACAGTTGTCACTGTCCAGCTTTTATGTATCACAAACAGATGAAGAGATATAATATATGTGTAAAATAATAATGCTAAAAGAAAATATATAAAATGGCATCTGATTGGAAAGGTCAGTATAATAATTGCTTTCAATCTCAACTTAGAGCCTTGCCACTACCCCGTGTGGCTCACGAGCACAGTCCTGTGCACTCTGCCATCTGTTTCCTACTAGAGTTTTCCCCAAAACCACATCACCTGGGCCCAGTGAACATGTGCCTGCCCCATACCACATGACTGCCTGAAACCTAGACTTATTTTTCTAAAGAACAGAAATGTAAGAAAAGTAAGTACAGTTTTTCTTTTCTAACATTTGAAGTAAGCAATTTTAAAATCTTTTTTACAAAATCTGAAATTCTGCATTACAAAAAAAAAGGAATAGCCGAGTGTCCAGGAGAGAAGGGAAGATTTCAGATACTCCAAAGATGAAATTGCAAAGAAATGAGACCTTTCACAGGGGTGAATACATGAATAGTTACTTTCCCCAGGGGTGGGATTGAAATAGAGTTTGGATAAAAGATGTAACATAGTAGTGGCAAGACTTTTATAATCTGCCATTGCAATAGGTGTCAAGACCTCAGCTTCTTATAAAGTAGAAGACTGGAACAAACTTTTTGACAGAAAATTGGGATTCTCAAGGTAATGATGGAGTAGAGTTTTAAAGACACCTAACAGCAAAGGCAGATGATAATATAAAAACATGTTTGATTATGTATGAGCTCTGGAAGAAAGGAAAAATATCTCTCCTGAGAAGTTGAAGCCACAGACTTTGGATTCATGAAGACTGGGATTTAAATTTATACTACTCATTTATTCAGGGAAGCCTCAAGTTTTGAATATTATATTAAAAATTGATCCAAGTTCTATGGTATACCTCAGGTGTCTAGCAGAAACTAATGCAAAATTGATCTAGAAAGGCACTTCCACAGCCAAACCTCGAGGTTTCCTTACATAAAAAGAAGCCATGCTGAATATAATGTCATAATTAAAATACAAAAGATAAATTACAACAAACAGCTAAATTATATCAAAAAAGACCTAGAGAATTGAATTATAATATAAAAATAAAACTGTTTAATCAGAAACAAAAAAATAGGTTCTCATAAAAAGAAGAGTAATATTTTAGAAAAAAATATAAAATCTCTAAAACTAAAAATACATTCATTGGAACTAACTGAAAAGATAAAATAGCAGAATAATTTTTTAAAAATGTATCCAAAATGCAATATATAATAAAGGAAAGAGTGATCCAATTATAAATGGCCTCATTTTCTTGTTTAGGTAATTTATCAAAGTATTGATTTAGTTAAAACTTTAAGACAAGCATACATAGAAAAAACATAAAAGTATTCACTAAAAAGTAGAGTAGAATGTAAATCTTCTAATCTATTAAAAGGTAAAAAAGCACAAATAAATTTTCATCAATATAATAAAAGACTAAAATGAAGATTTTTTTAAAGGGTTGGCCAATAAAAATATAACTATTTTAATATTCAACACATTATACATACTTATATAAAGAAAACTACAAAACCATTCATGGCAGTAGTGAGGTTTTAATAGTAACTCACAGTTCTTTAAAGATAAAGTAATGTATAGCATCATATTGGACATCATTGCTGAATGTCTGACATTGTTAAAATAGAATAAAATTTTGGCATTTATTATTCAATTTGTTAAAATGTATTATTATTTAAATGATTATAGGCATGTAGATGTAATTATATTATTTTCTATGTTTAGTATATTTAAATATTTTAAAATTTTAATAAGATATTATCTACCATACCTCTCAAATACGTTCATTACATTGATGCCAAAACCAGATAAAGATATCACTAGGAAGTAAAATTGCAGACCAATATTTCTTATAAATAGTAATGAAAAATCCTCAGCAGTATATTAGCAAAGTGAAAAAAGAAAAATATATAAAAGATTATGCATTGTTACTGAGTGGGATTTATCTCAGTGATGTAAGGATGGTTTAATATGTGAAATTGATATAAGGGTTGCATCATATTAATAGAATAAAAGACATATATCATTAACTCAATAGACACAGAAAAAGCATTTGACAGAGTCCAACATCCATTCCATGGTAACAAAAACAAATGAGGGAAAGGAATGTACTCAACCTAATCAAGAATGTCAGCAACTAAACTCACAACTAACTTCATATTTAATGGCAAATAATTTAATGTTTTTCCCTTAAGTTCAGAAATCAAGGAAATTCACTTTTTCCACTTCCATTCAATATGTTCTGGGGTTTCTAATCAGGGAAAATAGGGGCTATGGGAAGGAAGAAAGCTTCTATATTGGAACAGAACTAAACCTGTATTTTAGATGACATTATAACACACACACACACACACACACACACACACACACACATATACATGTATGTGTGCATATACTCGTAATCCTAAGAATAAAAAATATTAGAAATAATAAATGTGTTCAGCAAGGTTGCAAGAAATAAGTTCAATAATTAACTGAACTGAAGACTTCCAGCAGGCAACATGAGAAGCTCTGAAGACCCACTCCTCAGTGAAACTTGTAAAAGTCATAAAATAAAAATAAAAAAATTCTAGAATGGTACTTAGTAACCTATGACTAATGATGAAATATTTATTCCTGAAAATCTACTAAAGTGCAATACAAACTTTGAGAGTTTGCAGTATTTGACTAGGTTATTTTTATTCTCTCCCTTCTCCCAGCTTACTGAGGTAGAAACTCCATTCAAGTCTTCTACAGCTAAGAACACACACCTTTTTCTTCCCTGAGCTCCCATTCAGAAGGCTAGCTTCTCAGGAGTGGCCTATCATCAGTATTTGTAATCCTACCCTAGCTACCTGTCAATAAGTCTAAGTTTTGCTGACTGGCTGAGGAGTGGAAGCTCCCTTATTCCATCACTCTCGCCACTCATGGAGTAGAGACTCTACTAGGGTGCCACATTGCTGAGAATTCTTGAGCCCCAATCACATTTACCTCAGCTCGTGGAATGAGGGTTCCATTCCAGAGGCAAACTGAGGAGACCTGGAGCTGTTGTCCCCTTACACACCAAAGCTTCTAAAGTAAGACTGTCACTTAGAGAGAAGAACACCATTTTCCCATACCTGTAGAAGAGCCATGGTTCAGAAACTTTTCCCAGGGTACAGAAGTTACTAAAGAGAGCTCCAAATCCCTACCCAAAGGAACTGACTTTATTTGTAACAAAGTGTGAAGAAGAACAAGCCTGATGGAGCTCAAAAGTAGAAGTTATGGTGAAAGAAATGGGAAGAGATCCACAGATTATTTAAAAAAAGATGATTTTTCAGAAAAAAACTATGTTTTTCCTCTGCTGTCACACCACAACAACACTCATCAACACAGACTTCTGTGACCAAATGCATGTTTTTTTTTTCCCCCAGACACTAAGTAAGCAAGTAATTTTGCAGTACACATCAGCTTGGTGTCCTTCAATTCAATTCCGATGCTATCTACCTGCAGAGAGCATCATATCCCACAGATTGAGGGCTCAGTCCCACAAGACTGCCCCCTTTAGACCAGTTGAAGTCCAAGCCTCTGGAACTTCTGACCAACCTGTTTCAAGTTGGGATTCCCAAGCCCTCCTCTTTGGATTCAATTATTTTGCTGGGGTGGCTCACAGAACTCAGGGAAACACATATATTTACTGGTTTATTAAAAGGATACAGATAAAGAGATGCATAAGGCAAGGCATGGGAGAAGGGGTGCAGAACTTCTACTTTGCCCTCTCCAGGTGTATTACTCTTTAGGAACTTCCAGATTATCAGCTATCCAGAAGCTTTTTGAACTATAACCTTTGGGCCTGTTATGGAGACTTACATAGGAATGATTAGTTAATCCATTAGACATTTGGTGATCAACTTAACCCCATCTCCCTAAAGGTTTTGGGTGGGGCTGAAAGTCCCAAGTCTCTAATCATGCCTTGGTCTTTCAGGTGGCCAGCCCCCAACCTGAATCTGTCTAGGAGCTGCCAGCTGTGAGTCAATCATTAGCGTATAAAAATTCAACATTTTGGAGATTCGAAGGGTTTTAGGATTTGTATGCCAGACGGGGGTTGAAGACCAAATATATATTTCACAACATTACAATGACCCATACATCACAAAAAAGCAGGCAATTAAAAACTGCCTGTGAGAGTGACCAGATTTAAAAAAGACTTTAAAATATGCATTATGAATATTTTCAAAGAACTAAATAAAATTATGATTAAAGGAATAAAGGAAGGCATGAAAAAAACCACATCAAATAGACAGTATCACTAAAAAGACTGAAATTATAAAAACTAACCAATTGAAAATTCTGTAGTTCAAAAGTGTGATTACTAAAATAAAAAATTTATCAGAGTATATTAATAGTAGGTTTGAACTGGTAGAAGAAAGAATTAGCAAACTTGAAGATAGATCAATAAGGATTATGCAAACCAAAGGCCAGAGAGAACAATGAATGAAAAAAAATCATCAAAGTGTCAGTGAAATGTGAAACAGCATTAAGTGCACCAAATAGGTATTATGAAAAAAAAAAGTGCGTGAGTGAAAAGTACAGAAAAGAATATTGGAAAACATAATGTCTCAAAACATCATAAATTTAGAGAAAAACATCAACTTACTCATGTAGGAAGCTCAACAACTCCAAGCAAGATAAGCTAAGACAAAGAGAAAATCTTGAAAACTGCAAGGGAAAAATGACTTATTACTTAAAAACATAAAAGTAAAACCTCAATAAGAGTAACAGATGACTTCTTAGAAGCAATAGAACCAGAAGGCAGTGGGATAACAGTGTTTATAACACACAAATCTTCAAGCAAGAATACTAGATCCATCAAAGCTAGCATTAACAAATTAAAGCAAAATAGAGATGTTCTCAGATAAATATAAGCTGAAGAATATCTTGCTAACAGACTTGCCTTACAAGAATTACTGTGGGAAGTTCTGAAGGCTGAAAGTAAGTAACCCCAGACAATAAATCTAATCCATATGACAACATATCAGCGGTAAAGGGAATAATGTAATTACAAAAGACAATATAAACAAATATAACTATAAATATATACCTTTCTTTAGTTATTTAAAAACATAAAGTAATATAAATTAATATTATAATGTAGATGAGGTTAAAAATTCATGGCTACATGTAATATGTATAATAATTTCACAAAAAGTGGTCAAAATGAATAGAATTTAAAAGTAATATTTCTGTATCTCCCCAAAATTAAGTATAAATATGAAGCTCTTTTTACAAATTAAGATAGATTCTATAAACCCTAGAATAACTACTAAGGCAAAAACAAAAACATCTACAGAACACTCTAACAATTGTAGAATACACATTACATTCAAGTGAAACATTATCCAGGATAGATGATAGAAGAAGACATAAAACAAGTACCCCCATATTTAAAATAAATTATGCAAATATGTTCTCCCACAATAATGAAATGGAATTAGAAAAATAACATCAGAAAGGAATTTTGGAAATTTGCAAATATATGGGCATAAGCAATACACCCCTAAACAGTGAATGTGTTATAAAAGATATCACAAGGGAAATACAAAATACTTTAAAGAATATTGACACAGAACATAGCAAATGTCAGGACACAGCTAACAGTGCTTACACAGAGCTTTCTAACTGTATATATTTATATTAACGAAGAAGAAACATTCCAAATTAATAATTTAACTGTCCACAATAAGATACTGGAAAAAAAAGAGTAAACTACAGAAAAGGCAAATAGAAAAAAAGTTAAAATTTGAGTTGGAATTAAAGAAATGGAGGATAGATAAAAAATCAATGAAACCAAAAATTAACTTTTGGAAAAGATCAACAACATTGACCAACCTTTAGACAGACAAAGAAAAAGGGGGAAGTAAAATTTCTAAAATCAGAAATGAAATAGAGGACATTAGCACAGTATTGACCTAACAGAAATCTTAAGAAAGGCTTATAAAGGAATATTATAAACAATTGTTTGCCAACAAATTAGATACCCTAGATGAAACAGACCAATTCCTAGAAAGCCAAAACAATATTGAAATATTTAAAAAACGTGATGGTTAATACTGAGTGTCAATTTCATGGAATTGAAGGATGCAAGGTATTGTTCCTGGGTCTGTCTGTGAGGGCGTTGTGAAAGAAGATTAATATTTGAGTTGGTGGATTGGGTGGATCGGTGGATTTAAAAAAGACTTTAAATTGTGCTTTGAGTTGGTGGATTGGTGGATTGAGGGTGAACTACCCTCAATCTGGGTGGGCAGCATCTGTTCAGCTGCCAGCACAGCTAGAATAAAAGCAGACAGAGGAACGTGGAAGGACTATACTGGCTGAATCTTCTGGACCCCATTTTTCTCCAGTGTTGGATGCTTCCTGCCCTCAAACATTGGACTCTAAGTTCTCCGGCTTTTGGACTCTTGGACCTACACCAGTGGTTCGCCAGGGGGTCTTGGGCCTTCGACCGCAGACTGATGGCTGCACTGTCGGCTTCCCTACTTTTGAGGTTTTGGGACTCAGACTGACTTCCTTGCTCCTCAGCTTGCATATAGCTGACTGTGGGACTTTACCTTGTGATTGTGTGAGTCAATTCCCCTAATAAACTCGCCTTCACATGTTCATCTGTCTTATTAGTTCTGTCCCTCTAGAGAACCCTGACTAATACAAAGCACAACAAAATTGGAGGATTCACACTTTCTGATTTCAAAACTTACTACAAAGTAACAATAAAGACAGTGTGGTTTTGACATAAGGATGTACCCATCAGTCAGTGAAATAGAATTTGATAATCTAAATATAAGTTCTCACATTAATTGTCAGCTGATTTTTGATAAGATTGACAAGACAATTCAATGGTGAAAATTAGTATTTTCAGCAATTGGTATTGGGACAACTGGATATCCAAATGCAAAAGAATAAAGTTAAACATCTATCTCATATTATATATAAAAATTAACTTAAAATATATCACAAACCTAAATGTAACACCCTAAATAATAAAACTCTTAGAAGAAAACAGAGATACTATTTCTCAACTTCTTTAGGCAATTGTTTCTTAGATAAGACACTGAGACCAGAAGTGACAAAGAAAACAATAGATAAATTCAATTCATCAAAATCAAAAAACTTTTTGCCATAAACAATACTACCAAGAAAGTGAAAAGAAAAACCACAGAATGAGATTAATATATTTGCAAATGAAATATCTGTAAATCATTTATCTAATAAACTACTTGCATATAGAATACATAGAGAATTGTTAAATAATAAATAAAAGATATCTCATTCAAAATGAGCAAATGAGATCTGAACCAACTTTTCTCCAACGAAGATATAAAGTGGCCACTAAGTACATGAAAACATGTTCAACACAAATAATTATTAGGGAAAAAGCAAATCTAAACCAAATTGAAACATTATTTCACACCCATTAGGATGGCTATAATAATAATATCAGACAACAACAATATCTTTGTATATGGAGAAGTTAGAACCTCACACATTGCTGGTGCAAATGTAAACTGGTCAGAAACTTTGGAAAGAAACCTCAACCCCCTCTAAATATTAAATATAGATGTACTATATGACCCAACAATTCCATTCCTAGGTATAAACCCAAAAGGAATAAAATATATGCTCACTCAAATACTTGTGCATATCAACATTACTCATAAAAATCAGAAAATGGAAATGAATTAAATGTTGATTAACTTTCAAGGGGATAAACAAAATATGGTATATGCATACAACTGAATTATTATATAGTAATAAAGGGAATGAAATTCTACCACTTGCTACAATATGGGTGAACCTTGAATACATTGTGCTAAGTGAAAGAAACCAGTGACAAAAGATACATTGTAAGATTCCCTTTATAGAAGTGCACAGAATAGGCAAAATCTGTAAAGACAGAAAACATATTAGTGATTTCATAGGGCAGATTGGGAGCGAGGGCTATGGAGAATAATGGCTTATGAGTACAGAGCTTCTTGTTCATTAATGAAATATTCTGCATTTAGATTATAGCGTTCGTTGCACAACTGTGAATATAATAAAAACATTAAATTGTATACTTTACTGGTTAATTTTATGATGTATGAATCATATCTTAATAAAGTTGCTATGGAATACAGATTACAGAGCCATTATGTAGGGTGATAAGCCAATCAAATAAGAAAGGATTTTTTTAGAGACACTAAACATGTAGAGGCAGAGATATTTAAATCAATTATCAATCCATGCTACTTTAAAAAAGTATACTGAATGTGTGTGTCTGTGTCTTTGTGTGTATTTGCATTTCCATAACTAGCATAGTTTTGTTTTACTGGTGGTTTTCTTTATTTATTGAGATGTTTATTTTTTTGCACCTATTTCCATGTTAAAGAGAGTGACCATGTGGTATAACTTGCTTCTACAAAGTATTATTCATTGCTAGTACACCTCATAATGATTTTTCATTAAAAAACTCAGTTGCGTTATGTTGTTCTGACAATCAATATGCTCTCTGGTTAATCACACAATAAATTCTACGAAGTGTTAAATAGCAAGAACATGACACCTAAAAGCCTTTTGTTGAAAGGAGCTATACATTTTGCATAGAAAAATATATTTATAGTTTATCCATTCTGTTTATCATAATGACTAGGATTTTGTAATAATAAGTTCAAAATTAAAAGAATTTATATAGGCTTGCTACATTTATTATGCTCAAGTTCATCACAGCTGAATTGCAAAGAAATTTAAAGTTCATTATTCAAAGTTAGAGTAATGAGAAACACCACCTCCTTCATTCGAAATTAGGAATTAAGTAATTAAGTAGTGAGTTTCAAAAATCATGTAAGAGAGTAAAAAATCTGTGTGTTTGTACGTATAGTTCAACAAACTGTATATAGTATATATGTTTGGATTTTAAAAATTAAATACATTTTCTTGAATATAATTAGTTATATTAAGTAATTAACCGTATTAACTGTCATAGCAAAGGAAAAATTTCAAGGTGTTTCTTTAAAGGCTGTAAGTATTCTGTCAGCTTAAAACTGTAGAATAAATCTTTGTGTTTCTGTTTTTCATTCATGTGTTCTTTGATTTTTTTATTTGTTCACTTATTTCATCAATGAGCTAATAAGTCGTTCTCCCTCTCTACTCTTCTCTCTTTCTACAGTGAATTGAGTACCTACTGGGTACTTGGATAGTAATTTGCATAACATGCTCAATAAATATTTTGAAGGTATAGTTTGGAAGAATTTGTTTATAATATTAATCACAGTCTAAATGATGCTACATTTATTATTTTCTTTGGAAATATTTCTTCTGTGACTTCGCATAATAGTAGCCTTTCTGCTGACTCAGCTACAACCTTGCCATCCTCTCCTTCTGGGAATAACTTTTATAGAGGCATGTTTCTCTTCCATCATTTTCCTCTTTCCAGAAGACTGAGTGAACAGTCTTATATTACAAATTGCCTCTAGCTTTGCTATATGTGACCCGGAGCTACTTCTGTAAAGGCCAGATACCCATCAAGACTATTCCAAATAGATAGTAATAGGAACCTTAAAAAATAATAATGATATCTTCAAATTTCAATATTTATTGCACACATATTACATGTCAGTCACTATTTTTAGCTCTTTACATGAATTGTCTTATTCATTCTTACAATAATTTTATAAAACCAGTAAAATTATCTCCACTAATGTGAAGAAGAATTCACCTCACTTCTCTTTTTTAACTTTCATCCAACGTTACATGCCAAATCGTGTCATAATCTTACTCTGCTTTATGGTCACAATCTTTTTTATTATTTTATTTTATTTTTACTTTTTTGTTCTTCAAATATTGAAACCTTCAGATCTAGTAGGAGCAACAAGTTTATTACTTCACTTGTGTCTATATCCATCCACCATTCCATAATGTAATTCTTTTTTTTAATTATTATTATACTTTAAGTTCTGGGGCACATGTGCCAAACGTGCAGTTTAGTTACATAGGTATACACGTGCCATGGTGGTTTGCTGCACCTATCAACCCGTCACCTACATTAGGTGTTTCTCCTAATGCTGTCCCTGCCATAGCGCCCCAACTGCCGACAGGCCCCAGTGTGTGATATTCCCCTCCGTGTTCATGTGTTCTCATTGCTCAACTCCCACTTGTAAGTGAGAACATGTGGTGTTTGGTTTTCTGTTCTTGTGTTAGTTTGATGAGAATGATGGTTTCCATAATGTAATTCTTATCATTTGTTCCCTTTTCATTCCAAGCTAACTCTACTGAAAAATAACTTTAAATCAATTAAATAATTCAAATGCAAGAAAATTCGTTCAAATAATTAATCTGAAGGATAATAGAAATAACAAAAAAGCCTGGGTGTGGTGGCTCACGCCTGTAATCCCAGAACTTTGGGAGGCCGAGGCGGGAGGATCAAGAGGTCCGGACCAGCCTGGCCAATATGGTGAAACCTCGTCTCTACTAAAAGTACAAAAATTGGCTGGGGGTGGTGGCACGTGCCTGTAATCCCAGCTACTACGGAAGCTGAGGCAGAAGAATTGCTTGAACTCGGGAGGTGAAGGTTGCAGTGAGCAGAGAATGTGCCACTGTACTCCAGCCTTGGCTACAGAGCAAGATTCCATCAAACAAACAAACAAAAAAAAAGAAAGAAAGAAAAGAAACAATAAGACAACAAAAATGAAACTAGATACCACAGAGGGAAAATGGACAGATGGTTTTGCAACTCAGTTAAATAATCTCTTGACTGTTATATACCTAGCAATCTCCATAGAACTCTAGTCATTTCTTTTCCCCTTTTCTCAGTAATTACACCAAACTTTACTTAGTTTAGCATTTAAAACACTTTCATCCATTATTTTCATAAATACATTATGTCCTTCACTGTGAAAATTAAGACCATCTGACAAGACATTTTTTTATTTAGCTCCATGTCTCCTGTCAGTGTATTTCAATTTGCATACTCCTACATTCTTAGAAATCCTTATCTTAGTGAAAATGTGGTTCACTTTTTTTCACTCTCTTGATTCATGTATTTCCTATTCATCTCTCTCAAATAAAAAAATGAAATAATTGAATGTTGTATTTCTCTCTATCTACTTAGCTAC
This sequence comes from Homo sapiens, assembly GCF_000001405.40. Classification (NCBI taxonomy): domain Eukaryota; kingdom Metazoa; phylum Chordata; class Mammalia; order Primates; family Hominidae; genus Homo; species Homo sapiens. The sequence goes on along the minus strand of NC_000002.12, from coordinate 193,220,886 downwards.
CTTTTCTGTTTTCATTTATAACCTCTAATTCCCACATACCATTTAACTCTCAAGTAATTACATTTCACTCTCATCCTGAAATGGCCTCCTTCAGCGAAAAGAAATGGAGAAATAACTGGTAAACTTTCTGAAGTATTACAAAGAATTGATCATTGTGTTTTCTTAAAATTCTCACTTTTCTAATTGCTGTGGTTATTTGTTCTTTGTGTTTTACTTTTGCATATTGGTTATATTTTAAAAGTCTTGTTTATGTATGCGTATTGCTTTGATAATGTCTTAAATATTCCTGAAGGCTAATCTTTCAGCTCTTGCCTTTCCCAAATTATATGTTCTCTTTCTATATTCATTATTAGTACTGCCCAATAGACAGTAACATCTATTGGGTCAGAGAACAGTCTCTTTTAATGCAGATACTTCAATTCTTAATATACTGTGTAGATTTTCAACAAGTGATTTTTTCCCAGTGATTTAAAAACTTTTATAAATGATTCTGGAATTCTCAAGAACTCCAGATAAGTTTATTCTATTGCCCATAGTATTTTTCTACTTGAATATCTCCTCATAGCCACCTCCTCTAGATTATATATTTAAACTTTAACTGCCCTCTCTTGACACACGTATCTCTAGTTCTTCTCACTGTCAGCGTCACATGCACAGACACTCTAGCTATGTGCATTGCTACCTTGGAACTTTCGCATTTGGAATTTCCTCTTCTTGCATCAACCATCATTTGGTTAACTCCTATTTAGAGTAAATAACCCATTTCAAATTGAACTTCCCTGGAAAGCCATATCTGAATCCTTAAGTTAAATAAGATTATTCTCCTGTGTGTTCTCCTACCACTTACCAGTTTATACTGTAAGGACTCCCTAAGTGTTTTCTTCACAATGTCCCTTTGAGAAGGATATTTGAGTAGCTAAAGACCTGACAGAAACACTGTTAGGTCTTCTTTTGAGATTTTGTATTTCATCTGTGAAAAATTTGCTTAACTTTACTCAAAATGTTTACTTTACCAAAAATTTAACTGTACAATTTTTTTTCCACATAGCATCTGATGAAATCCTTATAGAAGACTTAGAGGTATGTGATCAACATTCAGTTTGCACTCATGACACAGAGTAAGAATTTAACAGATTTGAGAGAAACTAGTTATTTAATGTGTTTCAAATGTTAATAATATAAACTTCATAGTAATAATATTTTCTTATTTAAAAAATGAATGTAAAACATAACATTCCTGACAGATTCCTGACAGGAATGCCTGACAGATTCATGTTTAATGTAAAAGTTATCTAACAGCATTTCCATTATGATAAAGCAGCCAATTTTCTTCACTGAATAAAGACTACTCTTTCAAGATCTGCATTATCCTTTATTCCTATGGGGATATAAAAGATAATTGCATAATGTCATGAATTTTATTTTTACCAATTTTATTTCTGTCATTACAATTATTTTATTTTTGTAAATGGTTGATAAAAATTTCTATAAAATAAGAGGTTTCCCAATAAAAATATGTTTGGATATATATATATATATATATATGCGTGTATATATGTGTGTATATATATGTATATATATATAATTTGAAGACTGTATATATCTATATATCTATCTATAGCTATATATAACACATATATGGCTCAATTTGACAGCTAGGTGCAAATTAAAGTTTTATTTCTCTGATATTAGAATGCTGAAATATTCTGTAGCAATTGAGATTGCACTTTAATAATCTTGATATGAAGCTGTAATACTAAAGCTTTCCATTTTAATATAAATTAAAATACCAAGAAAACATGCTATTCCACATTACAACTTAAATTTTTACTTTGCCCTATTTACTGTGCTTCAAAATTTACAGCTTCTGACTTTCTTCTTACAATACCTATTATATCCAGCCAGTGAGAGCTTAATTGATAATGATGAAAATCATCTCTATATCTGTGGCATATGTTGAGCATCTGTTTCAGGCTATAATTTTAAATTTATGCCTTGTGCTTAAAACTAAAGCATTGAGCAAATAAGTTTTCATTTTTCAGGTTTTAAAAAAATATATGGTTGACCAAGTAGACTAAAATCTACAGTAGAGATTTTCACTTTGAAATTAAACACCAGAATAGAAAAGAATCAGAAGTACAACTATTTAAAATATACAAATTGACTTATAAAATATTTCTGTCATTCTGATTTAACTGTACATATGAATATGCCTCCTTGCAATCACATGGGCATGTGAAAATAATTCACCAAATTTTGAACATCTATCTGGCATTTTCTGGTAGCTAAAATGTTAAACTGATACATATGTGCTAGCCTTTGCCTTATAAGCATTGTGAAAAGAAAAAGAGAGTGAAGTTTGGAAAATTACAAGCTGATTTCCTTGGCCAAAATTAATGTACCTCATCACTCTGATACCAATAAGAGCTATATTGTAGGGAGGAGGAGCCAAGATGGCTGAATAGGAACAGCTCCGGTCTACAGCTCCCAGCGTGAGCGACGCAGAAGACGGGTGATTTCTGCATTTCCATCTGAGGTACCGGGTTCATCTCACTAGGGAGTGCCAGACAGTGGGCGCAGGCCAGTGGGTGCGCGCACCGTGCGCGAGCCGAAGCAGGGCGAGGCATTGCCTCACCTGGGAAGCGCAAGGGGTCAGGGAGTTCCCTTTCCGAGTCAAAGAAAGGGGTGACGGACGCACCTGGAAAATCGGGTCACTCCCACCCGAATATTGCGCTTTTCAGACCGGCTTAAGAAACGGCGCACCACGAGACTATATCCCACACCTGGCTCAGAGGGTCCTACGCCCACGGAATCTCGCTGATTGCTAGCACAGCAGTCTGAGATCAAACTGCAAGGCGGCAACGAGGCTGGGGGAGGGGCGCCCGCCATTGCCCAGGCTTGCTTAGGTAAACAAAGCAGCCTGGAAGCTCGAACTGGGTGGAGCCCACCACAGCTCAAGGAGGCCTGCCTGCCTCTGTAGGCTCCACCTCTGGGGGCAGGACACACACAAACAAAAAGACAGCAGTAACCTCTGCAGACTTAAGTGTCCCTGTCTGACAGCTTTGAAGAGAGCAGTGGTTCTCCCAGCACGCAGCTGGAGATCTGAGAATGGGCAGACTGCCTCCTCAAGTGGGTCCCTGACCCCTGACCCCCGAGCAGCCTAACTGGGAGGCACCCCCCAGCAGGGGCACACTGACACCTCACACGGCAGGGTATTCCAACAGACCTGCAGCTGAGGGTCCTGTCTGTTAGAAGGAAAACTAACAACCAGAAAGGACATCTACACCGAAAACCCATCTGTACATCACCATCATCAAAGACCAAAAGTAGATAAAACCACAAAGATGGGGAAAAAACAGAACAGAAAAACTGGAAACTCTAAAACGCAGAGCGCCTCTCCTCCTCCAAAGGAACGCAGTTCCTCACCAGCAACAGAACAAAGCTGGATGGAGAATGATTTTGACGAGCTGAGAGAAGAAGTCTTCAGACGATCAAATTACTCTGAGCTACGGGAGGACATTCAAACCAAAGGCAAAGAAGTTGAAAACTTTGAAAAAAATTTAGAAGAATGTATAACTAGAATAACCAATACAGAGAAGTGCTTAAAGGAGCTGATGGAGCTGAAAACCAAGGCTCGAGAACTACGTGAAGAATGCAGAAGCCTCAGGAGCCGATGCGATCAACTGGAAGAAAGGGTATCAGCAATGGAAGATGAAATGAATGAAATGAAGCGAGAAGGGAAGTTTAGAGAAAAAAGAATAAAAAGAAATGAGCAAAGCCTCCAAGAAATATGGGACTATGTGAAAAGACCAAATCTACGTCTGATTGGTGTACCTGAAAGTGATGTGGAGAATGGAACCAAGTTGGAAAACACTCTGCAGGATATTATCCAGGAGAACTTCCCCAATCTAGCAAGGCAGGCCAACGTTCAGATTCAGGAAATACAGAGAACGCCACAAAGATACTCCTCGAGAAGAGCAACTCCAAGACACATAATTGTCAGATTCACCAAAGTTGAAATGAAGGAAAAAATGTTAAGGGCAGCCAGAGAGAAAGGTCGGGTTACCCTCAAAGGAAAGCCCATCAGACTAACAGCGGATCTCTCGGCAGAAACCCTACAAGCCAGAAGAGAGTGGGGGCCAATATTCAACATTCTTAAAGAAAAGAATTTTCAACACAGAATTTCATATCCAGCCAAACTAAGCTTCATAAGTGAAGGAGAAATAAAATACTTTATAGACAAGCAAATGCTGAGAGATTTTGTCACCACCAGGCCTGCCCTAAAAGAGCTCCTGAAGGAAGCGCTAAACATGGAAAGGAACAACCGGTACCAGCCGCTGCAAAATCATGCCAAAATGTAAAGACCATCGAGACTAGGAAGAAACTGCATCAACTAATGAGCAAAATCACCAGCTAACATCATAATGACAGGATGAAATTCACACATAACAATATTAACTTTAAATATAAATGGACTAAATTCTGCAATTAAAAGACACAGACTGGCAAGTTGGATAAAGAGTCAAGACCCATCAGTGTGCTGTATTCAGGAAACCCATCTCACGTGCAGAGACACACATAGGCTCAAAATAAAAGGATGGAGGAAGATCTACCAAGCCAATGGAAAACAAAAAAAGGCAGGGGTTGCAATCCTAGTCTCTGATAAAACAGACTTTAAACCAACAAAGATCAAAAGAGACAAAGAAGGCCATTACATAATGGTAAAGGGATCAATACAACAAGAGGAGCTAACTATCCTAAATATTTATGCACCCAATACAGGAGCACCCAGATTCATAAAGCAAGTCCTGAGTGACCTACAAAGAGACTTAGACTCCCACACATTAATAATGGGAGACTTTAACACCCCACTGTCAACATTAGACAGATCAACGAGACAGAAAGTCAACAAGGATACCCAGGAATTGAACTCAGCTCTGCACCAAGCAGACCTAATAGACATCTACAGAACTCTCCACCCCAAATCAACAGAATATACATTTTTTTCAGCACCACACCACACTTATTCCAAAATTGACCACATAGTTGGAAGTAAAGCTCTCCTCAGCAAATGTAAAAGAACAGAAATTATAACAAACTATCTCTCAGACCACAGTGCAATCAAACTAGAACTCAGGATTAAGAATCTCACTCAAAGCCACTCAACTACATGGAAACTGAACAACCTGCTCCTGAATGACTACTGGGTACATAACGAAATGAAGGCAGAAATAAAGATGTTCTTTGAAACCAACGAGAACAAAGACACCACATACCAGAATCTCTGGGACGCATTCAAAGCAGTGTGTAGAGGGAAATTTATAGCACTAAATGCCCACAAGAGAAAGCAGGAAAGATCCAAAATTGACACCCTAACATCACAATTAAAAGAACTAGAAAAGCAAGAGCAAACACATTCAAAAGCTAGCAGAAGGCAAGAAATAACTAAAATCAGAGCAGAACTGAAGGAAATAGAGACACAAAAAACCCTTCAAAAAATCAATGAATCCAGGAGCTGGTTTTTTGAAAGGATCAACAAAATTGATGGACCGCTAGCAAGACTAATAAAGAAAAAAAGAGAGAAGAATCAAATAGACACAATAAAAAATGATAAAGGGGATATCACCACTGATCCCACAGAAATAAAAACTACCATCAGAGAATACTACAAACACCTCTACGCAAATAAACTAGAAAATCTAGAAGAAATGGATACATTCCTCGACACATACACTCTCCCAAGACTAAACCAGGAAGAAGTTGAATCTCTGAATAGACCAATAACAGGCTCTGAAATTGTGGCAATAATCAATAGTTTACCAACCAAAAAGAGTCCAGGACCAGATGGATTCACAGCCGAATTCTACCAGAGGTACAAGGAGGAACTGGTACCATTCCTCCTGAAACTATTCCAATCAATAGAAAAAGAGGGAATCCTCCCTAACTCATTTTATGAGGCCAGCATCATTCTGATACCAAAGCCGGGCAGAGACACAACCAAAAAAGAGAACTTTAGACCAATATCCTTGATGAACATTGATGCAAAAATCCTCAATAAAATACTGGCAAACCGAATCCAGCAGCACATCAAAAAGCTTATCCACCATGATCAAGTGGGCTTCATCCGTGGGATGCAAGGCTGGTTCAATATACGCAAATCAATAAATGTAATCCAGCATATAAACAGAGCCAAAGACAAAAACCACATGATTATCTCAATAGATGCAGAAAAAGCCTTTGACAAAATTCAACAACCCTTCATGCTAAAAACTCTCAATAAATTAGGTATTGATGGGACGTATTTCAAAATAATAAGAGCTATCTATGACAAACCCACAGCCAATATCATACTGAATGGGCAAAAACTGGAAGCATTCCCTTTGAAAACTGGCACAAGACAGGGATGCCCTCTCTCACCGCTACTATTCAACATAGTGTTGGAAGTTCTGGCCAGGGCAATCAGGCAGGAGAAGGAAATAAAGGGTATTCAATTAGGAAAAGAGGAAGTCAAATTGTCCCTGTTTGCAGACGACATGATTGTTTATCTAGAAAACCCCATCGTCTCAGCCCAAAATCTCCTTAAGCTGATAAGCAACTTCAGCAAAGTCTCAGGATACAAAATCAATGTACAAAAATCACAAGCATTCTTATACACCAACAACACACAAACAGAGAGCCAAATCATGAGTGAACTCCCATTCACAATTGCTTCAAAGAGAATAAAATACCTAGGAATCCAACTTACATGGGATGTGAAGGACCTCTTCAAGGAGAACTACAAACCACTGCTCAAGGAAATAAAAGAGGACACAAACAAATGGAAGAACATTCCATGCTCATGGGTAGGAAGAATCAATATCATGAAAATGGCCATACTGCCCAAGGTAATTTACAGATTCAATGCCATCCCCATCAAGCTACCAATGACTTTCTTCACAGAATTGGAAAAAACTACTTTAAAGTTCATATGGAACCAAAAAAGAGCCCGCATCGCCAAGTCAATCCTAAGCCAAAAGAACAAAGCTGGAGGCATCACACTACCTGACTTCAAACTATACTACAAGGCTACAGTAACCAAAACAGCATGGTACTGGTACCAAAACAGAGATATAGATCAATGGAACAGAACAGAGCCCTCAGAAATAATGCCACATATCTACAACTATCTGATCTTTGACAAACCTGAGAAAAACAAGCAATGGGGAAAGGATTCCCTATTTAATAAATGGTGCTGGGAAAACTGGCTAGCCATATGTAGAAAGCTGAAACTGGATCCCTTCCTTACACCTTATACAAAAGTCAATTCAAGATGGATTAAAGATTTAAACGTTAGACCTAAAACCATAAAAACCCTAGAAGAAAACCTAGGCATTACCATTCAGGACATAGGTGTGGGCAAGGACTTCATGTCCAAAACACCAAAAGCAATTGCAACAAAAGCCAAAATTGACAAATGGGATCTAATTAAACTAAAGAGCTTCTGCACAGCAAAAGAAACTACCATCAGAGTGAACAGGCAACCTACAACATGGGAAAAAATTTTCGCAACCTACTCATCTGACAAAGGGCTAATATCCAGAATCTACAATGAACTCAAACAAATTTACAAGAAAAAAACAAACAACCCCATCAAAAAGTGGGCGAAGGACATGAACAGACACTTCTCAAAAGAAGACATTTATGCAGCCAAAAAACACATGAAGAAATGCTCATCATCACTGGCCATCAGAGAAATGCAAATCAAAACCACTATGAGATATCATCTCACACCAGTTAGAATGGCAATCATTAAAACGTCAGGAAACAACAGGTGCTGGAGAGGATGTGGAGAAATAGGAACACTTTTACACTGTTGGTGGGACTGTAAACTAGTTCAACCATTGTGGAAGTCAGTGTGGCGATTCCTCAGGGATCTAGAACTAGAAATACCATTTGACCCAGCTATCCCATTACTGGGTATATAACCAAAGGACTATAAATCATGCTGCTATAAAGACACATGCACACGTATGTTTATTGCGGCACTATTCACAATAGCAAAGACTTGGAACCAACCCAAATGTCCAACAATGATAGACTGGATTAAGAAAATGTGGCACATATACACCATGGAATACTATGCAGCCATAAAAAATGATGAGTTCATGTCCTTTGTAGGGACATGGATGAAATTGGAAACCATCATTCTCAGTAAACTATCGCAAGAACAAAAAACCAAACACCGCATATTCTCACTCATAGGTGGGAATTGAACAATGAGAACACTTGGACACAGGAAGGGGAATATCACACTCTGGGGACTGTGGTGGGGTCGGGGGAGGGGGGAGGGATAGCATTGGGAGATATACCTAATGCTAGATGACACGTTAGTGGGTGCAGCACACCAGCATGGCACATGTATACATATGTAACCTGCACAATGTGCACATGTACCCTAAAACTTAGAGTATAATAAAAAAAAAAAAAAAAAAAAAAAGAGAGCTATATTGTAGACAGTTTCTTTATTCTTCTATACAGCCTCCCTTTCCCCTTCTTTGGATAAAGTCATTCCATATTTCGTAAGGGTAATCTTCACACTTCATTCCATATGGTTCTAGAAGAAATTCTGCTTATTGAAACTTCATTCTCTATGTCCTATTACCTGCTATCAGGCAATGAGCAAATCATTCAATCAAGGCTATCAGGCTTTTCGCCCTGGTAAATTGAAGTTTGAATGCAATGTCACATTAAGGTAAGGCTAAAATCAACATCCCAAACACATAATCCATGTGTTCCTAATTTAAATTTCTACAGCTGTGCGTGTTCCTGTCCTTCATAAGAAGTGGGTATTTAGCTTTTCTTTGATCCTTTATCTCTGCTTTTTAAAAAAGTTATAAATATTTATTTACTTAATTATCTATTTAAAATTAGTTAACCAAAATGGATTTCTGTTCTGTAAGACAAAATAATTCTAAGCAATTCAGTAATTTGCAGAGTTATTGTAAGAACTAAATTTCATAAATTGAAATAATGTGAAATTGCCTAATTAATAGGTATTTGATTCTAATAGGACAGGCTGAATAATTAATTTTTGCCACCTTCACTAACTCAGTATCTTCCCAATCCCTATTAACTAATGTCATGATTGTTACAAGCACTTTATGAGTTTTGTTTAGAATTTGGGAAGTCAGAGAATCCCTCTGAATGAAACAGAATCCATGAAACCAGGATTCTTGTTTTATAAGAATGAAATATCAATGCAGAAATTGATAGGAAATAGATAAGAAAACAGCTAAGAAGTGATATGAAGGACCTTTTCAAGGAGAACTACAAATCACTGCTCAAGGAAATAAGAGAGGACACAAACAAATAGAAAAAAATTTCGTGGTCATGGATAGGAAGAATTAATATCAAGAAAATGGCCACAATGCCCAAAGTAATTTATAAATTCAACGTTTTTCCCATCAAACTACCACTGACTTTCTTCACAGAACTAGAAAATCTACTTTAGATTTCACTACGGAACCAAAAAAGAGCTCATGTAGCCATGACAATCCTAAGGAAAAAGAACAAAGCAGGAGGCATCACCCTACCTGACTTCAAACTATACTGCAAGGCTACAGTAACCAAAACAGCATGGTACTCATATGAAAACAGATATATAGACCAATGGAACAGAACAGAGGCCTAAGAAATAACACCACACATCTACAACCATCTGATCTTTGACAAACCTGACAAAAACAAGCAATGGGGAAAGGATTCCCTATTTAATAAATGGTGCTGGGAAAACTGGCTAGCCATATGCAGACAACTGAAACTGGACTCCTTCCTTACACTTTACATAAAAATTAACTCAAGATAGATTAAAGACTTAAACATAATACCATAAAATCCCTAGAAGAAAACCTAGACAGTATCATTCAGGACATAGGCATGGGCAAAGACTTCAAGATTAAAACACTAAAAGCAATTGCAACAAAAGCCAAAACTGACAAATGGGATCTAATTAAGCTAAAGAGCTTCTACACAGCAAAATAAACTATCATCAGAGTGAACAGGAAACCTATAGAATGGGAGAAAATTTTTGCAATCTATCCATCTGACAAAGGGCTAATATCCAGAATCTACAAGAAACTTAAACAAATTTACAAGAAAAAACAAACAACCACATCAACAAGTGGGTGAAGGATATGAATAGACACTTCTCAAAAGAAGACATTTATGTGGCCAAAAAACATATGAAGAAAAGCTCATCATCACTGGTCATTAGAGAAATGCAAATCAAAACTACAATGAGATGCCATCTCACACCAGTTAGAATGGCAATTATTAAAAAGTCAGGCACAACAGATGCTGGTGAGGATGTGGAGAAATAGGAATGCTTTTACATTGTTGGCAGGAGTGTAAGTTAGTTCAACCATTGTTGAAGATAGTGTGGTGATTCCTCAAGGATCTAGAACCAGAAATTCCATTTGACTCAGCAATTCCATTACTGGGTATATACCCAAAGGGTTATAAATTATTCTACTATACAGACACATGCACACATATGTTTATTGCAGCACTATTCACAATAGCAAAGACTTGGAACCAACCCAAATGCCTATCAATGATAGACTGGATAAAGAAAATGTGGCACATATACACTGTGGAATACTATGTAGCCATAAAAAAGAATGAGTTCATGTCGTTTGCAGGACATGGATGAAGCTGGAAACCATCATCCTCAGCAAACTAACACAGGAACAGCAAACCAAACACTGCATGTTCTCACTCATAAGTAGGAGTTGAACAATAAGAACACATGGACACAGGGAGGGGAACATCACACACCAGGGCCTGTTGGGGGGTGGGGGGCAAGGGGAGGGAGGGCATTAGGACAAATACCTAATGCATGCAGGTGTTAAAACCTAGATGATGGGTTGATAGATGCAGCAAACCACCATGGCACATGTGTACCTATGTAACACACCTGCACGCTTCTGTACATGTATCCCAGAACTTAAAGTAAAATAAAAAAAAATAATAAAATAAAGAAAAAGAAAAAGAAAGAACACCTACTTAAAAAAAAGTAAAATATCAATGCAAGATTTAAACATGCGTCATTGTATTTGAAGAAGTAGTTCCATAACCACATCCGCATATACTCGGTTTCTTGAAAAGAAAAACGTATGATAGATAAATCATTAAATTCATGGATCGTACACAAAGAGATGCTTTTTGTGTGTGACTTCAGCCAGTAACTCCTCGCACATTAATCCAGTATTTTCTTTCTTTTTTTTTTCTTTTTCTTTGAAATGGAGTCTCGCTCTGTCATCAGGCTGGAGTACAGTGGTGCGAAATGGGCTCACTGCAACCTCTGCCTCCCAGGTTCAAGTGATTCTCCTGCCTCAGCCCCCTAAGTAGCAGGGACTACAGGTGCACGCCATCATGCCTGGCTAATTTTAGTAGAGACAGGGTTTCATCATGTTGGCCAGGATGGTCTTGATCTCTTGACCTCGTGATCCACCTCCCTCGTAATCCAGCATTTTCAATAACTTATGTCACACAGTAGGTCTGAGGTTAATCTCTGTTGAAGAAATATGTTCAAATATGTCTTGTGTACAAAGATCACAATCCCTTTGTTTCAAGTGAACTACAGCTTGATCTGCACAAAAATAGTAGCAAATATGGTTAGCTTAGTAAAAACATGTATAAATTAACAACGCGTAAAAACATGATTTAAGGCTATATATATTACTGTTATAGATAAATTACAGTTAAAATTTTATTTACTAATTTTCAGTATTAAATGACATCTTAATGCAAACTAGAGTATCTTCTCTTAGAAATAAATTTTAATATTAAAATAGAATTCTGCTATCAATTAGTTGGCTTTTAGGAATGTTATTTTATAAATAACTTATTTTTAAAAAAATATGTACAGCATAATCAGAGTGGAGTAATAAGGTGAATGTAACATTGTAAGGTAGAGTAACATTTAAGTGAGGAAAAATACACATAATCATGTATATTATCTATAAGCAATATATCAAAGTACACAAAGTAAGTTTGTTTAAAAATTAATAAAATCTACCATAAAATAGATGAACCAACATAACAAAAATTTGCTAATGTGTTGATATAATATAGTCTTACAGATAAACTAGGGAGTAAGAGAATTAACACCTAAGGTCGAAGCTCACTATGTTTTATTCATCTGTCCAAATAGAATACGCAGGTTTATTATTGAGTGCTTGCCTGGGAATATAGGGCGGAACTGCAGGACTAGTTATTTTAGGTATAATATAAAAGTATTAAAAATATTGTAAAAAGTTGTTGACACTTCGGGAGGCTGAGGCAGAAGGACCGCTTGATTTCAGAAGTTTTTAGACCAGCCTGGGTAACAAAATGAGACCCCATCCCTACGAAAAAATTAAAAACATAGCTGGGCCTGGTGGCGCATGTCTGTAGTCCCAGCTACTGAGGAGGCTGATGCAGGAGAATCCTTTGAGCCCAGAGTTTGAGGCTGCAGTGAGGCTGCTAGTCTACTATGATCACACCACTGCACTCCAACCCGAAGACAGAGCAAGACAAAAAGATTGTTAACTAAAACATTTTACATGGACATCTAATCCAACTCACTATGGATTAGGAAGTAGAGGCACAGTTATCAAATGACTTGCTCAAATTTAGTGTTGTGTATTTGAAGAGTTAGGTCTCCTGTGTCTCCACCTGGCTTTTTTTTTTCTTTCTAAGCCTTTGTCCCTGCTCATCTTTTTCTGAGCACTGTTTTCATAGATTCCCCACATTGGTGTCTCAGGTGAAGCACTGAACCTTTAAAAGAGACTCTAGACTCTTAAAAACAACAGTGACTTCCCCTCACCCCTACCAGTTGCTTACAAAAAATCCTGTTGTGGGTTCATAGCACTTAATATTTAAGATTAACTTGTTTTCCCATCTCTCTGTCTCTTTCTTTCAAGATCCATGAAGGCAGGAGTCTTACCTCCCTTGCTTTTAGTGCTATATCTCTTTTACCTATAACAGTGACACATAGTAGGAATTTAATAACACTTTGTTTAATGACTTATTGAAAACTCATCACTTCATGAGAGGCCTTTTATTTCTCACCCTATCTGAATTAATAGTTCCCTGGCTGTCACCAAACCTGCCATATGCTACTATAAATGAGCAGCCTATTAATAGAAACATTACTATAATGTGCAGCACAATATTTTATTCAACATATGCTGTGTACATTTTGATGATTTTAATTTATTCAAATCAGTATTAGCAAACTATTAATCTGTGCTATTTATTACATATATTTGTTTTCCATTAATCTAATAAGCTCAGTAAATTCTGTGCTATTTAGAAATACTTCAAATAAAAACTAAAAAAAGCTCATCAGTCATAACAGCACATATTGAAAGAGAATTTATTTCTCCTCATTTTCCTTATCATTGGTACAACAATTGTCCCACTAATAAAAGGTTATAAACATTAAATGAGCTACTAGAAAAGAAATATTTAAAGTGCTTTGTAGAGTGACATTTATAAAAAGTCATAATTATTAGGAATTGCTTTTTATTGAAATTTAATCTTTTATGTTTCTAGTGATTTTGTAAATTTAGTAGTTGATTATATTCAGACAATAAACACTTTTGTTTTTTATTGTATTTGATTTATGAATACATATTTTTTATTTATTTATTTTTTTTGAGACAGAGTCTCACTCTGTTGCCCAGGCTGGAGTGCAGTGGGGCGATCTCGGCTCACTGCAAGCTCCCCCTCCCAGGTTCACACCATTTTCCTACCTCAGCCTCCCAAGTAGCTGGGACTACAGGCGCCCGCCACCACGCCCAGCTAATTGTATTTTTAGTAGAGACAGGGTTTCACTGTGTTAGCCAGGATGGTCTCAATCTCCTGACCTCGTGATCCACCTGCCTCAGCCTCCCAAAGTGCTGGGATTACAGGTGTGAGCCACCATGCCTGACTGATTTATGAATACTTTTAACAATAAAACTAATTCATTTTTTTCCAAAAGATGGAAGATTTACTTTAATAAAATTTGATATGTTAAATGTGATTGCTTCTATTATCCAATAGGAAATATTTCAGTGTCATCATTGAACACATTACTTGAGGAGGAAAGATTATAGAAAGCTAATGAATGGAAGCCACACAAACCCTAAAATATTTTCTATCTCTTTTTTTTCTTCAGAAAAAGATTTGCCAGACTGCGGAACTGCATATGGTGATATTTTTTTTTCTCCTCCTCCTCATCTCTTCCTCCTTTTCTTCTCACCTCTATTCCTACTTAATCTTCCTTTTGATTTTTTTAATATACTTTGACAACTGTAAACAACATTTTGTACATCTGGTACTGGGCCAGACTTACTGTAAGTAAGACCTACCTACTTAGGCCATAGTTTCCTGACCCTTAGTCTAGAATTTACAATAAATATGCTTAGTTTATCATAATCTATCTTCAAATAATATACTACTTCCCCATATATTATAGTAACGTATACTGTCAGAAAATAGAATGGTTCCATCCCCTCTTCTACACATCTTATATACTCAGTAGTGCATTGTTGCATTGTTATTTTTGCTTTGAAAGCTATTGTTTAATGAGATTTAAAATAGAAAATGTATTTACTCACAATTTACCATTTCTGGCCTCTCCATTCTTTCTATGTAAAGCTGCTTTTTCCTTTCATTTGTTATTCTTTCCATTTTACCTTAAGAACTGCCTTTCCAATTTCCTGCAATGCAAGTCTCCTGAGAATGAATATTTTAGGACTTTTAAAAACTTGTCTTAAGTTTAAAGCATATCTGAGTGTATAAAAGTTTAGATTGAGCAGTTTTTGTTTGTCTATACCTTTTTGGTACTTTAAAAATGTTCTGTTGCCCACAAAAGAAAGAGACCATTGAATTTCTCAGAGATACCTGTACTCCCCTCACTAGCACATTTATGTTCACTTTGGTAAATGGAGTGATTTCTGGGCCATCACATAGCACGTAATTAGCTTGTATGTTTTTTACCCTTCTGAGATATGCGGCCTACTTCTCTGAGCCTTTTGTTCTATTTTCTATAGTGGCTTCTGTGGAAATTGTGGCATTTTCACTTCAGATAGCGTAGGCTATTACTATTTCCAAGCTTTCAAGAACCAAAATAGTTGTGTGAACATGGATGTCTCCCTTGGTTCTGCTACCACCTCTAGATCCTTTACAAAGTTTTAAATCCTGTATTAAAAGACAGTGCTCTTATAATAATAATCAATCTGTAATCAAGCTTGATGTTACATGCCACTCTTGATCCAGGAACCTTGTCTCTATTATCATACAAACTTGTCAGACTCTTGCAGCTCCTATGAGATATAGGCCCTTTTAATGGTGTATATTAAATGGTTTAATGGTTTTGTAGCTATGAAGAAAGATAGGGGTAGACCCTGATGAGTGTTTATATTTTTTGGCAAAGAAGAAATTTTTAAGTTGTCTTCTGCCAGAGTAAGTCTTCAACTGAAATGGTTGCCTGGAGAATCCGTGATTCAAGATTCTCAAGTGCTTCAATTCAGACATTTGTATTAGGATTCCCTAGAGGGACAGAACTAACAGGATAGATGTATATATAAAGGAGAGTTTGTTAAGAAATATTGACTCACATGATCACAAGGTCCCACAATAGGCCGTCTGCAAGCTAAGGAGCAAGGAAGCCAGTCTGAGTCCCAAAGCTGAAGAGCTTGGAGTCCGATGTTTGAGGGCAGGAAGCATCTAGCAGGGGAGAAGCATGTATGCCAGAAGACTAAGCCAGTCTAGTCTTTCCACATTCTTCTACCTGCTTATATTCTGGCTGGGCTGGCAGTTTATTAGACTGTGCCTACCCAGATTGAGGGTGGGTCTGCCTTTCCCAGTCCACTGACATAAATGTTAATCTCCTTTGGCAACACCTTCACAGAGACACACCCAGGAACAATACTTTGTATCCTTTAATACAATCATGATGACACTCAATATTAACCATCACACCAATGCATACTGAAGTTTACAATTCCTCCCAATCAATCTCTTGACATCGGCATAGAAGACTTTTAATAAAAAGTCAACTATTTTTGGATCTCTGCTTCTTTTCTACTAAAGTCCTGGGGTTAATCCAGGACTTAACCCAGGACATAATCCACAGCTTTTAGTACACTTTAGCTGAGATAAGAAAGGAGGCCTGCTGGCTCTTATATTTCACCTAAATTGGTGATTAATAACACTCGACTTCATAGTCTGTCTCCAGTGTATGGACTATTCCCCACAACAACCATCAACAGTCATCTTTCTTATAATTACTACTTTTCACATAACCCTCAAAAGCCTGATGTGTTGTGCTCATTAGTGAATTAACGTTCACTAGTAGCCCATTTTGGTGTATCACTTTGTTATTCATGAACTTTAACAATCACACTGCCACATATGCCAAGAGCTATTCCTATTCAACATACTACCAGTGATGTGGGCCTCATTGCCAGGTGGTGGTGGGTGGTGCAATTGACAATTGCATATTAGTGTTTGTTTCCTAGGAACTAACAGAATGAAAGGTCTTATGTCTGTGTTTTTAAAAAATGGACTCTGAGACTTGAATTAAGGATATTTTAGTGGGAAAGGCTCTCAGGAATAAGACTTTTGAGAGAGAGAGCAATTGAAGCAGAATTGGTCAGAGAGAAGCTGAACAGTGATGCAGATGCAGCAATAGCTCCCATTAGTTGCACAGAAAGATGTGAAACTACAATGGGCCTTTGAAAATGTTCAAGGTAGAGACAGGGAGACAAGTTTTGTAGTTCGTCACTGACCAGCTGAAAATGTGGGGCAGCTACCATCAATGCAAGCATGCAAGCACAGGTCATCAATACTGAACGTTCCCAGCAATTGGGGGCTTAGCTCCTGAGACCTGAAGGGGGATCAAGATGAGGCACCACACCAGGCACTGTAGGGATGCAGATAATTTAAAGAATCAGCTACAGTAAGTTGTCATAATTTCTATTAAAGAGAATTAGGGGATGTTATGACTTTACTTATTAGGCTTCTCTACCAAATCTGGGGACTAGGTAGTTCTTTCTGAAGAAAAATATGTTTATGTTGAAGGCATATAATAAATGTTTTCTAACATATGGAGAAAAGGTTATATGTTATAGATTCAATGAAATGGCTTATGTTGATTGGGTTAGATAAAACAGGCAAATCACTCAGTTTTGTAACTACTAGTGTAACTCAGTGAAATTACACAACAGACTTGCATGCATTTTGATTCCTAATAAAATGTAATAAATATAGGGCCCTGTTTTTCACCTATCCTAGTAAATTTAATATATCTAAACTAATGTTGGCATTCAAAACAGTGCATTTCAGAGATTCATAAATACTGATCAACATTGGTATGGACTGATACATCTCTTGGTATTCTTTCCGAAATAATACAGTCTCTTTTTTTAAAAATCACATGAAAAGTTTCAACAGAGACCACAGACCTTAATTGTTACATGAGAATCTGAACGAGTTTGAAGCATTTTTCAATTATGTATTACTATCAAAAGAATGAAGATATTGGCCATTATTGAAGATAATCAGAAGAATGTGACATGAGATGTAAAGAAAATTCCCGAAATCGATTGCATCTTTATAATAAAGGCAGTGAATCCCACAATTATTTGGAGACTCCAGCACTCGGGTTGATGTTTTTACTGACAATACAGATTCTTCTTGATATGACAGCTTACTATGCTCTTCCTTTCCACATACTAGCAAACAACCCTCCCAATTCTTTCCAGATTCTCTGGTCTATAGGCCTTATTTTTCATTACATTGTAAATACTTAGGATGAGTTGCAAAACATTTGTATCTTTGATATCAAAAATAAATCCTCAGATATGCTTTTTTCATCAATTTCTCTCAATCTCTCCTAAAATCTATGTGCATGTGTGATTAATTTTTCCAAAAAAAGTCTTTGATCATATTCCCTCAGGATAACAAATACAAATATACAAAAGCCCCTCTGCCTTTAAAATCCCTTAGTAAAATTGTAAAATTATAAAATTTTGATTTCTAATAGTTAAAAATATGACAATAGGCTTTTTCTCCCCCCTCCACATTATCTCAAATTCCTTCTTATTCTTTACCTGTTAATGCTTTATCTGACTCCATGGTCCAAATAAAAATATCTTTTTTTTTTCTCCATGAGTATCTTAACTAGACACACTCTACCATCATTCTCTTTCAATAATATTATTAGATATAGGAAATATCTAGATGTAACACCAGTTACCTGGCTATTCTTGATACATGTTTTTTTTCCTTGTCTGAACCTTAGTGCTGTTATTTTGGATTACCTAATCCATGAGGTTTATTCCTCCTTTTATAAGTTTGGATGTGTGCTATATGTTGATCAATTAAAATATTCAATTATTCTAGTATTTGATACTTATTATAACCATTATTTTATTCAAACTCTCATAAGGTGTTAGGGTTTACTTAACTGTTTAACCAAGATGGGTATATCCCTTTATTCTTTTCTGCTTCAATCAAAACCCCCTAAATATTCTTAATCAGGCAAGGGGACAAACAATTCTGTAATACTATTCTCATGTAAATTCCATAGAAGCTGTTTTATTCTTCTTCCCTAACAGCTGCTTCACTTAACTGGTCCTTAAAACAGTTTGTCATTTATTCATTAACACAACATTGATGTGTTACCTATCCACCCTATGACTATATTTATATTTATCTAGTTTTATACAGAGAATAAGACACATTGATAAATAAATGGACATGCAAAATTATGGTACTTGGCAAAGGATGTGTCAGTTTTGGGTAAATTCTTCTTACACAGTCTGCAAACAATGGAAAAAAAAGTGAAGAAAAGCAAGAAGCCCAGTCTTCTTATAGTAGGACATCTGTAGTCATTTCCGCATACTGCTCTTTCCATCCTCACAGCTTCTTTAAAAAATTAGTTTCAGTGGTCAAAAGGGTAGAAGGAGGGTAAGTAGAAAAAAGTATCTCAATGGAGACAAGAGTAAATCCATCACCAACACTGAATAACTGACACAATGGATCAGTGGCATCATCTTTATGTGTGTTGGACAACATATTTCCCCTGACAGCATCTCCTGACACTTTAGAAACAGTCAGCAGGTTATGGTGACTATGCTGCCATCGATAAGTAAATTATTGGATCAAGCTGTTAGGAGTGGCTATCATTATTCACTTTTTTCTTATAATGTCACATTTTTCATTATGTTTTAGGTACAAAGGAAAGATATATTTCAACTCCAACCTTCATGGCACTGAGTAAAAATAAATGTGAATTTCAGTAAGTGCAAAGAAATATTTCATTGGCAAAAACAGCCTTTCAATTTTAATGATGATAACTATACTGCATTGAGTAAAAACTGGCTTTTTTCTCCCTACACTTGGAAATGTGAAATACTATACATCACTCTTTAATTTATGGACACTAATTTTTAAATCACCTCTTCAGAATATCACCAAATATACAGTGAACACATGTGAGTGTTACATTTGCTTGATTGGATAACTTAGAAAACACAATTAACTATTTTGTTTTTCTTCCCATTATACACATGTACTCATTCGTGAGTAAATTCTGGACTCCCAAAACTCTCTCGGATGCTTTCAGTGGATGTAAAGGATAAAACGATTTTCAAAACAATTATTACGTTATTTGACTTTTCTTACGTGTTGATATCTGAAATGGGGCAAAAATCAATGATGGATGTATTACTCTGTTCAAACTGCTATAACAAAATATCACAGACTGGGTCACTTACCAATACACACTTACCACTTATTTTTCACAGTTCTGGAGGCTGGGAAGTCCAAGATCATGATGCTAGAAGATTCTGTGTGTGTCGAGGGCTCTTTTCTTGGTTTGCAGACAGTTGCCTTCTTTCTGTGCCCTCACAGTAAAATACTGGGCTCATTAAATAGGTAATTAAAAATAATTACTTTCTTTATCTAATTTTTCACCAAATTGGCTGTTCTGCAGAAAACTCTGCAATGACAATTATGGTTAGTATGATTTACATAATGTGTTCAAATTTTATGTGTTCGAACTCTTGTTTACAGAACCTTGATTATAAACAACACATAATTAGAATATACTGTAATCAACTTAAACAAAAATTCTGAGTAACAAATGATAATAATATGCATTTATTAATTACTTTCTGCAAAACAATAGAAATTGATTATACAGTAGAATGATGCTGAAGATGATTTAATTTCTCTTGCATTATGCCAAAACCACTTCATGATATTCTAATGATTCCAAGATGTGAACATAAATATTAATCATATTATGCTGGTAAAACAAGAAAATAACAACTAATAGTCTCATGTTAATAAAATGCGAGATAAACTATTTTTTTCTGTATTCTCTCCATTATAGTATCTAATTACATTTAAAGATCTCCCACAACATAGGCTCTCAAGATATCTTTCTTTATTAATGTTACTTAGAAACATTGGCTTTCACCCTATGTCCCTTACCCAAGTTCTTTATAAGGTCAACTTTTTCTTAGAAACAGATAAATTTTAATCATCTGGTTTCCTGGGACTTCCACTTTACTTGCTCCATGGCCTAGTTGTGCCCATCTCTGTCACTTCCAGCTATGCCAAAGAATGGTGCTCCCTTTATCCTGTCAGAAACTCCTCAACATGGCATAGTTCTTTTATGTTCATGCCAGTGGTGTGAATGATTCTCTGACCACCAGGTCATCATAGTGTTGCAGCTTTTTCACTCCTGTTGTTTGGTGAGTGGGAGGCAGTATTAGAGCTCTTTTACTCCAACCACCTGCAAGCTCTGGGTTCTTGTCCCCTGACCAAGAAAAATAAGGCACACAGACATCAGAGAGTGAGTAAGGCAGAGTCATATTTATTTAGTGACAGAAAAGCTCTCAACAGGAAGAGGGGACCCAAAATAGCATTGACGTCTATGAGGCTGAGTCTAGGGTTTTTTATGGACTTGAAATGAGAAAGTGAGTGCTGATTAGTTTATGGATAGTCCTGGAAAAAGTACCATCCAGAAAGAGGAAAAATAGTGTAAAGGACCAATCGGGGCTGAGGTGAAAGCTTGGCCTGAGACCTTGGCCTGGAACCTTGGCCCAGAACCAATCAGAGCCTGAAGTAGAAGCTTGACACGGGATCTTGGCCTGGTACTAATTACAGAAAGATAGGTATATGTAAAATAGGTGAAAGTTAAGGACCGATCAGGAAGAAGCTTGTTAAATGAGACAAAGGCACACCAAGGAAAGAGAAATGTGCCCAAAAAAGGAGGGAAATTTGTTTATCTAGATTCACAGAGAAGACATTTCTATTCAAGGATGCTGGCTTTTTCTTATCTGGAGGCTGCAGCTAGATTTTTAGGCTGTTCTTAGTTTGAAGGAGTTTTGCTGATGTTGGATCTTTCCTATCTGGGACCTGCAGACTGATTTGCAGGCTGCTCTTGGTTTGAAGGAGTTGTACGGAGGATTCACTCTAACTGCCTGCCTGGTTGGTTTCTTCCTTTCTCTGTCTCAATAATATTACTTCAGAAGGCTAAATACTGTACATAACTTATTTTCACGTTGGGATTAAGGAAAATTAGAGAAAATCACAAAAATCTAAAAGCTTCCAAATAGAGGCTCTTTGTGGGTAAATTCCTAGTTTCTAATCTATCTCTACTGCCTTAAAATTGTGAGGCTATACTAACCATATTTGTGAGGATCCACAATAAGTCACAACAATACTTATTCCTTTCACAAAAGGCATATGCATTTTTTTCCTCATAGATATATTTCTCTAAGTTATGTCTCTTCAGTATGGAGAATATCCTGGTACGCTTCAGTGGATTTTTTAGAGTTTGCCAAAGCCACCAAAATCCTGGAGATCATTTCCAGGGTTATTTAAGGCTAACGCTCCCAAATTTTCATTATTAAATGTTGTATCTATGCACAAAAACCCGCATCTTCTGAGAAAATGTTTATAATGAAAGACATGAAAAAAATTGATTAAATTATTAGTCAATAACTCTCAATTTCATCTTTTTAAAAACAGGGAAATAGATGAAGGTAGATAGATATGTTTGCTATAACGTAGCATTAGGAGATATACCTAATACTAAATGACAAATTAATGGGCGCAGCACACCAACATGGCACATGTATACATATGTAACAAACCTGCACATCGTGCACATATACCCTAAAACTTAAAGTATAATAATAATAATAATAATAATAATTAAAAGATTTATATTAAGGATTGAATTCCATCACTTTACATTTTTTCAGTATTTCCTCAAACCTCTATATAGAAATAGGTTTTCATGTTTTTGATATAAATAAACCACAGTACATTTTTTGTGCATCCAAATGAGAGACTCTTTGTTTCTAGACATTCTCCATATGATTATGGCTACCAAATGCTTCAGAAGTTTATTTCTTCCTTTTTGTTTAATTTACATTAGGAACTATAGTAAGAGAATGTAGGATGTGATGTTTGTACACACAAGATAATTTGCATAATATCATTGATGATTTTAAAATTTAGAATTAATCATAGCGATGGTCTAAATATCTAAAATCATGTAGTAAAAATAAACTGATTTACAATGATAATATTTTCTAACTGCTTTACTCAGATAGAAAATGTGTCATAGCATAGCTTTATAAATTTTCTGCTTCCAGTTCTGAGTTCAGAAAGGTTATGGAAACCCTTAGAGTAATTTCAGTGAAAGCAACTATTTAGAAATTTATCATATTAATACCAGCTATCACACTGTACAAAGTGTGCAAATTAACAAACTGTCATGTTTCATATTCATTGTATTGGAGACTGTGGGAGGAGGTCCATGTGTTTAGCCAAAATATTCTGTATTTTTTAAAACTGTTAGAAGAAAATCCAACAGAGAAAAAAAATTATTCATTTTCTAGTAGTAAATTTTGAGGACAAAGGAATCACGAGATATATGATACTAATCAATAACAAATTAATTCATTTCAATAAGCAG
This sequence comes from Homo sapiens, assembly GCF_000001405.40. NCBI lineage: Eukaryota > Metazoa > Chordata > Mammalia > Primates > Hominidae > Homo > Homo sapiens. The sequence goes on along the minus strand of NC_000002.12, from coordinate 193,197,872 downwards.
TTTTACTCTGACTACACAATAAATTTGGAACGATGTAACTGTAAGTAGTTTTACACCCAAAAGCAAAGGAATCCACAGTACAGTTTTACTTTTCAGCTTTTCTTTTGATGCTTATATAGAAAAGGGTTCTGTCATGCAATATATCTTACCAGTCAAATTTAAATTTATTTTATATTGATAAATTTTTGTGTGCACATCCCAGAAAAACAAAAGTTCCCTGTGTCCATCTCATAGGCTTTTCTGATCAATCCAGGAATATATTTGTTTTAAAATTTTTAAAATAATTTCACTCCTTACAATTTGCGTGTTCCTTTTGTTTCAATTAATGCATTGATTCTAAATAAATATAAAATCATATTTGGATTAGAAACTTTTAATATGCCAGTTATTTGGTAGACTATCCTTACCAATTATTTTAGGCATTGCTGTCTGTACAGAATCTATACATACATTTTATATATATATTTATATATATATATATACACACACACACACACATTATATATATGTATTTGAATAATTACTGAATTCTTGTTTAAAATTATTTAGCATTTCCTAAAATGCAAGCACAAGTTTGTATATAAATTTGGGTAGATAATTTTACTTCTCAGTATTAATGTGGTTCAGGAATGTTTTAAATGTTGATTTTCCATTGTTCATCAAAAATTTTACTTTACCTACACACATTTACTTTACTGGAACATTTATAACGAAGTTTAAGGAACAACAAGATGTATACATTTCTTATTTGTAAAACTGTCCTTATTTTGCTTAGTTTAGTTTTGATTTGATTTGATTTGATTTGTCCAAAAAGTTTGACTTACATATTGGAAAACTAAATACAAACCTTGCTACATCTGATTTCCTCAATGCTACTCTATACCAGTCACTCTTCTATGACTTCCAGGTTATCTTTTCTAATATGTATTTCTTATTATCTTTCAAGAATAGTCTAAAATAGCCCATCTTAAAACTGACTAACAAAATATGTTTTGTATTTTGTCTATTCTTTCCATCATGGTAGGCACTGCTGTTGTTGAAGCTATCAGTAACTTAATTAAAAACTTTGTCTTCTAAATAATGTATCTTATAGTTTTTTTAACTTTTATTTTAAGTTCAGGGGCACGTGTGCAGGTTTGTTATATAGGTAAACTTGTGTCATGGGGGTTTGTTGTACAGATTATTTTGTCACCCAGGTATTAACCCTTGTTCCCGTTAGTTATTTTTTTTCTGATCTTCTCCCTCTTCCCACCCTCCACCCTTCGATAGGCCCCAGTGTATGCTGTTCCCCTCTATATGTCCATGTGTTCTTATTATTTAAATCTCACTTATTAAAAAGAACAACAACAACAGATGCTGGTGAGGTTGTGGAGAAAAAGGAATGCTTATATACTATTGGTGGGAGTGTAAATTAGTTCAACCATTGTGGAAGACAGTGCGGCGATTCTTCAAATACCTAAAGACAGAAATACTATTCAACCCAGCAATCCCATTATTGGTTATATAACCAAGGAACTATAAATCATTCTGTTCTAAAGACTCATGCATGTATATGTTCATTTCAGCACTATTCACAATGGCAAAGTCATGGAATCAACCTAAATGCCCATCAATAATAGACTGGAAAAAGAAAATGTAATACATATATATATACCATGGAATACAATACAGCCACAAAAAGGAACAAGATCATGTCTTTTGCAGGGACATGGATGGAGCTAGAGGGCATTATCTTTAGCAAATAAACATGGGAAAATAAAATGAAATACTGTATTTTTTCACTTTATAAGTGAGAGTATCTTATAGTTTTAATCTTTCTAGTACTCGTCCACTAAATTTATGTTACATGAAAAAAATAGAGTCTTTAAATAATTCCAAGTGTGACAATAGACTAAATCTTAACTTACTACAACTAATATACATCCCTTTGGTCACTATCTCATAATATCCATCATCAAATGAATGCACTATAAAGAAAAACTCTCTCAATTTCAAGGGTGAATATACTAAAAAGGGCAAAACATGTTGCTTATGCAAAATAAAGCAGGAAAAACAAGCAAAATACATGAGAAACAAAATATATAATATCACAATGAAAACATAGTAGTCAAAGAGAAAATGTAATCAAAATATTTTCAAAATAAAAAGTGTGGATGACAATTTTAAAAGAATTATATGAAATTTAAAATCTTTGGCTTGCACATTTTTCATAGAAATCATGTAGAACATAAAACAAAAATAATTAGTGAGAAATAAAATGTACAGAAAGAAAAAATGAAATACTTTAATAAATGTCATAAACAATAGAATAAATAAAAGAGAAATGTTTTCCAAAATGTAGTTTAAGTAAGCTACATGAATATTAAAAGAAACTTGAGCCTAGAATTTAAAGGAAGAATTTATTACATAAAAAGTGACAGGGATCCGTTAATACTGATGTGTTACCAAAGAGTTTAAAAGTTGACAATTATAAACGTTTCTAGAACTCCTACTCTAGAACTCCTACTCCTTCTTATAAAAAAAAAATTATAAGGAGTAAAACAATTCAATTGGTTTCAAACTACTACAAAAATATTTAACATATGGATAGTTTCGTGTCTTCAAATCTTTCAAGAGAAGAAGTGGGATTCAAGTGTTGTACAAAGTAGCTAAACTGTCATTCATTTATAAAAGGAAATAAGCAAATATTTTCAAACATGCCAGTACTTACAGAGGACATAATTCTCATAACTCTGTCATAAATGTAAAAAATTAACATAGAATCAGCTTCACCAGCCTATAAATTAAAGAAGGAAACAAAATTAAAAGCTTAGTAGTAAACACTGAATTCATTTAATACTAGAACTAATATTCCGACACTTGAAGTACATACCATAAGCTATTATAATATAAAAATAAAAATGTAATAGACAAGGACAATGAGGGGGAGACAGTGAAAAGATTGGCAAGGAAACATGTAGATAGCCCTGTCTTTCATAGATGGGCTTAACTGATACTATTTAAAGATAATGTATAAAAAATATTCAGCTCACTAAGAGTAGGATAAACTTTATAAATAAGAAAAATGATATGAAAACCAAAATTGAAAATTGTATTTTAGAGTAAATTCTTAAAATAAGTTTAACATATTTTTACAAATCTAGTGAGCTAGAATCAGTAAGTATTATCAAAGTTGGTAATGTAAAAATAACGTAGCCAATAAAACAGAAAACCTATAAATAACTGGAAGGCAAAACAAATAAGCAAAGAACATTTTTAAAAACAAACAAAAATGACAGAATATGTAGTCAAGAATAAATAGAATTAATTAAGAAAACAAAGCATAACATTCAAAAACATGATAAAATAATGCATTTTATATCAAAAATGAAAATGAGATAAACTTATTAAGAAGAAATAAAAAATCTGATTATGAATCAAACATTCAGCCATATATTTCATGTAACTAGAGAATCTACCATATATTTCATGTAACTAGAGAATCTAAAAAATTTAGAAAATTTAAAAGAGTAAATACAATTTAAGAGAGCAGATGAAGTTAAACTATTAAAATGGTTACACATATTTGAACAAAAAGTATATACCATTACAGAAGACAACAAGAAGAATTTATCAATAAATTAGGCACATCCAATTGAAAAGCTTAGACATAAATACTTTTCAGCAATACAATAAATATTAACACAATTCATAAAACAATTTCTATACAAAATGGAAGAAAAATTCAGAAAGAATTACATCTGTAGTTGACTATTTAACTCATCTTCTTTAGTCTGTGATAAATCAAACAAATAAAAATAAGTCATGATTTTTGTGACCTTAAGACATTTAACAAATGAAGAATATCTAATATTTATTTTTGTGTTTATACCTGTAAATATATATATATATTAGAAATGTATGTATTGAACTTTATACCCAGAATACAAATATTTGCATATTCTTTTCAAGACACAAAGAAACAATTAAAAAGTATCAGTATGTTGGCTGAAATTAAAATGGTTCCATTAATTCTAAAATATAAATGTATTTTCAAAAATTTCTATCTCTTTACAGTATAAAGACCTTATATCATAACAGAACAAACTGGACTTTGTTCTTTAAATCTACCCTAAAAAACACAGGTAAAGCCAAATGTCAAATAACAAGTTGGGAAACAAATATATAGATAACATAAATGGTAGACATTATTAATTTCTGGAAACAGGAACCTCAGACTACAGCTGCAGAGATTTAGATTCCACCACCAATATGAATAAGCTGAAAGCAACCTTTTACCCAGAGTCCCCAGATAAAAGCTTAGCCTGGCTGACACTTTGATTTTGGCCTTGTAAGACTCTGAATATAGAACCAAGCCCAGTCTAGATTATCTGAACATATTTGCAAATAATATATCTGATAAAGTACATATATACACAGTATATAAAGAACGATTACAACTCAACAATAAAAGCACAAACAAGCCAAATAAAAAATGGGCAAAGTATTTCAATTTCAATTTTCCTCAGTGAAGATACGCAAATATCTATTAAGCACCTCACGAAAGTTCTGCATCTTTAGTCACTAGGGAAATGTAAATTAAAGCACCATGAAATACCACTAATACCCACTAGAATGGTAGTAATACAAAACACCGATTTAAATAATGAGTGTTGTCAATAATTTAAAAAAGCCTGAACTTTCATATATTGCTAGTGGGAATGTAAAATGGTAAAAACAATTTGGAAAACAGTTTGTCAATTCCTTACAAGGTTAAACATGCACTTACCACATGATTCATCAATCTTCCCTTAGCTTTTAGCTGTTTATCAAAGAAAAGTAAAAACCTATGTTCACACAAAGACCTCTATGTGAAAGTTCATAGCAGCAATATTCATAAAATCCAAAACCTGGGGACAATCTAAGTGCCCATTGACTACTTTAATGGATAAACACCAAATGGTATGTCCATGCAACGGTATGCTATTCAACAATAAAAAGAAACAAATATGCAAACACAAGTCTGCAAAATGAATAAATTTCAGAGACATTATCCTAGGTGAAAGAAGCCAGACTCAACAGACTACATATTTTATGATTCCTAAGAAGTGAATTCATAGAGATTGGTGGTTGCCTAGGTCAAGGGATGGGAATGAGGATTGAATGCAAATTAGTACAAAGGACATTTTTGATGTTGATTTAATTGTATCACTTGAATGTAGTTATGGTAGCAAAATTATATATTTACTAATATCTACTGAACTTTACCTTTATAATAAGTGATTTTTTGTATGTGTTAGTTTTCCTTCAATAAAATGATTTCATATACAATTAGGAGTAGACCAAGTTGTAGTTTACCTGTACTTTGAGAACAGTCTGAAATTTAGGTACTATTTTATGTCAAATCATAACCTTTTGAAGTATAGATGTTTTCTTCAATTCTGTTATCTTGGTGCTCAGTTCAATACCCGATAAATTATAGAACACTACGAATATCTATTAAATTTAAATATAAATATATATTTATAAAATGATGTATTTATAATATGTGCTATTTAAATATAAAAATATTTATTAAATTTAAGTGTAAATTAAATTAGATAATCGAAGGGAAATTAACTCTTGAGTAAGCAAGATCAAAGGTATGCTGCTTTTTCCAGTGTATAGATAAATTTTATAAGCAAAAAGGATAATTTGAAATGCCATGTAGAATAATGTCCAGTGATGTAATAGTAATAGATAAATTTGCTAATTAGAGACTTGCATCCTGTTTGGCATATGCCATGAGGGGTACCCATTATTATAATTTTCTTTCATTAAATTAGGATTTTTACAAAAATATTTGGGAAAATTTCTGGAATTTTCCATCAAGTAGAGCACATATTATTTTAGTGAAGTTAGATAAGTGATTTAACTTGTCAGTAAGGTATAGGTAAAAGTAAAATAAAATATAAATAATTGATGAAAAATAATGTTGACATGCTCTCATTTCATTAATATGTTATCTTACTCCTGATATCATTCCTGCTTTTACATTTGGTCATAAGACACATAAATTAAATACACATACACATTTCCATGAAACAATAAGATCCATGCTATTTCTTTCTGAAACTTATTAAAATATGATGATGAAATTTATAATAATAATATATCTGCATTATGAAATCAATATATACTATTATATATTGTCATATGTTATATATTGCTAAATGCACTGTATATTTAACTATTAATTTTAGCTTACACATTATGTTATATATTATTTAAATTATTAAAAGCGTAATTTTAAAGCCATAGTTGTCTAACAACGTAAAATAGATTGTAATTCATTTTGATAGTATAATCACAAGTCAAAATTTCTATTACGTTTTTAGACATATGTTACTTGAGATATCTAATTACCAACTTTTTTTGCCCACAAAGCAATTAGTAGCCCTGAATTAGTAGCCCTGAATTAAATATTAATGAAATCAAGGATTAAGTCTAATTTTTTTTCTGTTTTCACTTTAAATGGTGAAATATGCTCTCAACAAAGATCTTTAAATGAACGAATAATTTAACGTGCATTTTATATATTTATCCTACTTGCTATAGATAAGTGCTCAATTTAAATATTACATAGTTTTCTGAAAAATCAGTCCAGAATTAAATTACCATTTTTGAGGATATCCATAATAAATGTTGTGAATGTGTACTGGGAAGCGAGTGTTCCTCACTTTATAAATTAGACGTACTTAGGCTCTGTAGGACATGATACATTTATAAGTTGTGTCTACATATAATTTTATATAAATGTTGAGAATGTTACAACTATTTAATGAAATAATGTACTTGAGTCTGCAGCTTATTTATTTTTTCTATTTTTCATTTAAATATGTTCTCCGTAAAAACTTTTTATAGTAGCTGCTTTCATTAAGCTTATTTTGTCACAGGTATTTCTTGTGCCTTCAATAAATTCTGCCTGCATTTTCATAGACATGAAGGTCAATTTATATTATTAAAATATGCTTCTTTCTCCATGTTACACACTCTCTGCTTTCTCTCATGGGAGTTGACAATTTGTTTTGATATTTTCTTTGATTAAATACACTGCTGAAAATACAGAAGGTCATATTAAGGAATAAAATCACATAATATCTTGTCACTTTTATTGACATTTACAAGTTTTATGTATTTTTCGGACCAGCAATTTTTACTGATGCACCATAAATTAACTTATAGTTAGTGATCCAAATCCTTGAACAACATCAGTGATCATTCTCTTCCTCTGAATTGCTACTAGAGAAGTTGGTCGTAGAAGCAATGTTGTGAAATCCTTCCACACATTTAGACAATTATTACTGCTATTATCTTCTATGCATATGGTTTGCATTATTTTTTCACATCAGATAGCTTTATATATAAGTGTAATAAAAGCTGTAGAAATGAGAAAATTTTGGTACGTTTATTTGGAAAGATGATGAAGCAGTATTTTTTTCATAATTAAAATTAATGTCAGTAAGAATTAGAGGCTGGGTGTGGTGGTTCATGGCTGTAATCCCAGCACTTTGGGAGGCTGAGACAGGTGGATCACCCGAGCTCAGGAGTTCAAGACCAGCCTGGGCAACAATGTGAAATGCCATCTCTACAAAATATACAAAAATTAGCTGGGCATAGTGGCACTTGCCTGTAGTCCCAGCTACTTGGGAGGCTGAGTCAAGAGAATTGCTTGAACCCAGGAGACAGAGGTTGCAGTGAGCAGAGATCATACCACTGCACTATAACATGGATGACAGAGCCAGACTCTGTGTCAAAAAAAAAAAAAATTAGAAATCTTTCTAATTATTATTGCATTTTCCACAATAAATTAGAAAATACTTAAAATCAATTAAAACTACTATAAATACATTGTTTCACTATATAATATGCCTTGTTTTTATTTGATTTAACACAATAATTTTTATATTGCCTACTGAATTTTATATGGGTTCCTTTAGCTAATAAATGTTGTCATTATTAAAATAATATCTTCCAAATTAGGCATTTACTAATAATCCTTAACTAAGATAGAGTAAATGATGATTCATGCTTATAGAAAGTAATTTAAAATAGCATAGATTTAGACCAGATCATCTGCAGTCAAATGAAATAAACTTTCAATTACATTACATTTCATCAGCAGACCAAATATTTTGAGAAATTTCTATAGCATAAATGATATCTCTCTTTGATGGAAAATCAATGGAGTAAAGAACTGTCTTCTAATGCACTAGCATAATAGTATTTTTCTGTTGATAGATATAATCTAGACTGTCCAGAGATCAGAATAAAGATTCAAAATTTGGTGGGTGGCTTTTTGAATATTTGGGCTCTTTGTAAATATCTACCTTGTCATTCTAACTTCTCCTTATAGCAGCCAAAATGGTGATTAATCCTGGCCGTCATAAAGTATATGCGAGTATGATGGTCAGTGAAGTAGTGTGGGGAAGGCAGATACCTGGAATACCCAGGAAGTACATTAATTCTCAAATTCCACAAACAAGTTACTGAATCACGATAGCCTCAGTATATTCAGAACCTTTGGCAAAATCACCAGATGTTTGAGAATTTTGCTACTGAAATCAGTGCAAAACCAAGAATCATCACTGTTAGAGCAGATCAGAAAGTATACAAATGGAAACTTACAGTTTTACAAAAAAAAAAAAGATTACTTTGTAAATAACCATAAAATATGTCTGCCCTGTTTAATGTAATAACATTTGGAATTGCAACAAGATGAGGTAATAGGATCATGTCCTAAGAAGCAGTAAGGTGAACTAAAATGCTTAGCCAGGAAATTATTTCAAAACAATTTTGTAACCCAGAAAGTTAAAATTCACGTGTCTGGGATGCAATAAAAAATTTCCAGGTATCCAAAAAAGAAGAGAACACAACCTATAATGAGAAGAATAATCTATGAATTGCAACTGACACAAATGATGCTGATGTTTAAAATGAGCAGAAAAGGACAGTGAAATAGTATTTGGCATTTTGTATGTACAAAATGTGAAGTAGAGACTTGATATATAAAGAAGACATAAAAATAAAAATTATAATATCTGAGATAAAATACACTAAATGAGCTTCATGATGAACATTGCAGAAGAAAAACAAATTGTTAACTTGAAGACATAAGAATAGAAACTATCCAAATGAAACACAGAGGTAAAAATAAAAGAAAGGAAGTCTAAAAGAAAGGAACGTTTATCAGTAAGCTGAGTGAAAATTTTAAGTAGTAGAATATACGCATAATTCTGCTTAATGAAGAGGAGAGAGAAAAAGAACAAAAATATTAAAGAAATAATGGCCAACATTTTTAGAAATTTTATGAAAAGAAGTCCACAGTTTTAAGAAGCTCAAGAAACTCCAAACACAAGAAACACGAAGAATATGATACCACAAATTGCAAAAGCAGTGAAAAGAAAAAAGAATTAACAAACCCAAATTTTATAAAATGTCACAAAGGAAGAAAAATAAAATGACAGTGAAATTCTCATCAGAAATATCTTCCAAAAGTGAAAGTAAAATAGTGTTCAGGCAAACACATCTAAAAGAATTTATCATAAGCAGAATCACTTCGAGAAATGTTAAAGAATATTGTTCAGCCAGAAACAAAATAATAGCAGATGAAAATATGAATCTTAACAACAACAAGAAAAATAAAATGCACCAGAAACAGTACCTATATAGGTAAGTATGTGATAGTTTCCTTGTTTAAATTGCATTAAAACAGGATTGACTATTAAACAAGTAATAATATTTGTATTGTGGTTATTAAACATGTGAAAATAAAATGTATGATCACAATACCAGAAAGACCAAAGAATGAAAATGAAAGTAAGGTTTCATATGCTATGTGAAGTAGTAAATATCACCTGAGGAGAGACAGTGATATGCACACGTGCTATGTGCTATAATGTGGCAAATATAATATGATAACAGATTTATAGCTGAGGAGTTAAGAGTGGAGATAAAATAATATAAAGTACTTAATCAAAAGAAGTCCAGTAAAAAGAAAAAAAAGTGAACAACAGCTGAGATCCGTTTAAAAAAAAAAAAGGAAGATGCTGGATGGCACTTTTAAACTCAACCACATCTACATATATATATATATGTATATCTTTAAAAACCTATTAAAAAAACAACAAATGGCAGCATTTAAGTTCTGAGAAAAAAAGTCTTACCTATTAGTCCAATCTGATAATTTTTGCCTTTTAATTGAGTTGTTTAGAGTATCATCTACTATATATATATACACATATAGAGTATCATCTACTATATATATAGTAGATGATATATATAGTAGATGATATATATATATACATAGTAGATGATACTCTAAACAACTCAATTAAAAGGCAAAAATTATCAGATTGGACTAATAGGTAAGACTTTTTATTCTCAGGGCTTAAATACTGCCATTTGTTGTTTTTTTTAAACAGGTTTTTAAAGATCCTTTAGAATTTCTGCAAAGTACAAATCACTCCAAACTTACAAATAGAAAATTTTAATATAGTAGAATTTATTATCAAAGTGTAAGCCCAATTTTGATATATTTATTCAATGAATAAATCAGTTAATATACTCAAAACTTTTCAAGACCATCATAAATCATATTTTTAGCTATTAATAAACTAGCAGAAAAAATTTGATTCTAATGATCAAAAAACAGTGCTGAATTCTATATCCCTCTTCTCAGGAGAATTAGATTTTTGCTTTTTCATTTATTAGGGTTTCCTTTGGATATTAACTTATGCAATCCTCAAACTAATCCTCTGAAATGGGAATCATATCACCATTTTTTGATGAACAGTCTTAGGCACAGACATCTGTGAAGCTTTCTCAAGGTTACATAATGAGTATACAATTCAATATTTAAAGCCATACTCTCAAATTTCCACAGTAAATCAGATGACATCATTTGTTATGGCTTTTATATGTTCCTATCACCAAATTCTAGGTATGGTCTCAGTAAGGAGCTAAACTAGTTGACAAATACTTGTCAAGAAAAATTATTTAAATAGTGATTATGTTAAAATTAAATTGTAATTTTATCACAAGTGCATTGTATTGGATCAAGAATGTGAAAACAATTATATTGAATGGAATGATCTTTTTATCTTTTAGAGATACATATATAAGGTCAATATCTTAGACGACCCTTAACATAATGTCCTGATCAAATTAAGCACTCCTAAAGAATTGCAATATACACCCTCCTTATACAAAAATACACCTTTGATGACAGAAACTCTTGTTTACAGAATACAATAGTCTGTTGTCAAATTTTCGTATATGTGTCAGAGTAATAATTTGAGGATTATTAGACTTTTTCGTATAATTATTTTACCTCTCTAGATTTATGTTTAGGAATTACCTTCAAAATAATGAACACATTCACAAATTTAATTATAGTCATTTTTTGTTGTTTCAGAGGATGTTTATTGCAAAAGAAAGAACAAAGAGGATAAAGATGAGACATCTAGCTCTGTCTTGTTCTTAAGGAATTTACATTTTAAAATTCTTAACATGTTTTTATGCCACTGGAAAAGGCCAAGAGCTTTAATGAAGATGGTGTTTTAGTATTAGAAATATGGGTTTTATAGTTTTTAGTCTCCAAGATCTTAAGTCCTGAATAATTAAGTTGGCCCCATAAAAATAGAAAAAAAAATAGTAAAATGCTTATTTCCACATAAGTTAAATCCTTCAGACTAAAGGAAGTTAAGGAGATTCATAGCATAGAGCAGTAACGTTGGGTTCTTCTGTGGGTCTCTGAGAAGGGTGTCTGCATCCTTTTTGCTGCATCCAGAGTTATGGGGGCAGTCAATGAAATCTTCAGCTAAGTTTTGAGATGTGATTTGGAGCAGGCACCTAGTGTCACTTTCCTTCCATAGCCTTAGCCTTTGGCAGGCTCAGAGTACTCTCTTTTGCATCAGACCATATGAATAGTAAACTAGATATTTTTTTATAGTGGTCTTGAGGCAGGAGGGCCTATCACAGTCCTTTCTAACTTCTGCCATCACTGAACTATACAGAAAAACATTAATTTACATAATGTTTTAAAACATATTTAAAAACATAAATTTGGGGGCGTTTAATCAAGATAGCATGAACAATACACCTGAAGAAGTTCCTTAGTTGGCTGGATAGATTCCACTGTGAGTGGGAGTGGATTCCACTTGGGATATGATTCACATTAAGAAGAATTGTTGACATCTCAGTAAACAAAATTAAGGATATGGTCAAGATTGAGAGTTGAACAAAAGACTCAGCTGGTGCAGTTTCGTCAGACAATGACCAAGAACCAGGTATTCATGCCTATTGATGTCCTCAGAACTTAGATCCATCACAAAAGGCAGGAGGGAGTTAAGGAAATTCTGACTTTGGCTAAAAACTGAAAACTGAGTATATCTAGGATTGATCAGGTTAAATGTTTGCAAACAATTGGAATAATATCACTATCAAGAGGTAACATTTAAAGTATAGGCAAATAAAATAACATTCAATTTTGAGAAGACCTGATTGTGAAATGAGATTTTGCACAGTTTAGACATAACATTGAGAACAAAGGTTTGTGTGAAATTTTTACTAAAAGTAGCTTCATGTGTAATTTCATAATGAAAAATAATTTTATGAATTATAAGTGCATTTAGGTATTTCTTGTAGGCAATGTAATAGGCATACAGGTAACTTTAGAGACACATTGGGAGGTCTGATTTGGGGCCAAAATGAGTCTAATACACATAGAGATTAGACCAAACATTCCAAAGCACTGCCTTAAGATTATCTTAAAGAGAAAACACATGAGGTTGAATACAGACCTTTTTAGAAACATATTTCTGAGTCATTTAAGGCTATAATATACACCATGTTTGTAATTAAGTCTAACCTTTAATGATATATCCAGGAAAAATAATTTAGAAGGATATATTCTTACACTCCTCTTTTTAAGAGCAATGTTCCATGGCTCAGTGTTTTTTACCTATTAAGATATCCTGCTAGATGTCTTCTTTGGCATGCTTTCCTTATATTAAAACATAGATTAGGGAAAAGTACTTTATCATATGTGTAATCTACTCCACAAGGAGTCGCTCATTTTACTTTTTAAGCCTGTTTTGTGATGAAGGTGTTACTTAGTTGCTAATTTCTTTTTACCTATCCACCACTCAAGCGGCTGATTTTTTTTAACCAATCAACACGGTAATTGATCTTGGGATGCTAGATTTGGTGAAGTTCACAAAGAAATTGAAATCATCTACTGAGTGCCCTGATTATTGAAATGATAGATGCAACTGGAAATTTGCAGCTAAATTTGTGGTGCCCGAAGTTGGGCTTATTTCTCTCACTGTTTTACATTGTGAAAATACAATATAGATTTTCATGGTGACAGGAAGGTGATTCCCAAATGAATTGTGAGAAAACAGATCATCGCAATCGAGAAAAAAAGGAGACAGCCTGAAGCTTTTGAGACGGCTTATATCTTTGACAAAACTTGAAGTTCTGAAGTTAGTGCCTACAAGAATATCAATGAAATACATGAGTTTACTTTTGGCTATGAGAGCCTCTGCATCCCTGTTTTATATAGATCTTTAATAGTAAATTTAGTAGTGGGGTCTTGCTATGTGTAATAAAATGCATTTTATTCATAATACATCTTATAATTCAAATGTTTAGACTGTATACTAGTATGTTTGTTAGTTTTGGTTTGTCCAGGATTTTAAGTACCTAGTTCTCCATATTAAATTCCTTACAAATTGAAATATCTGAATTGTTTTCTGTTTCCTACACCAAACCCTAATATAAAGATACCACAAATTCAGGATCAATATTATCAGGCACTGGTCTGCAGAAATGTTTTACTAAAACCAATTACTTACACGAAAGAAATGTTAAGTGTTTTGTTTTGTTTTTGGAAACCAAAGATACTGTCTTCAATATGCTCATAATCTACTAGAAAATAGCCATAGTACAGTGAAAGACACGGACAGTATATAAAAAAGATGACGTTTACATAAGGGAAAGTTAGTGAAAATTATGTGTGAGAAAAATCCTAATGTGTTTAAATTAATTTTCCTTGTTGAGAGCTACTTATTTCTAAGTGGAGCTCTTCTTTTAAATAAATAAATATACCTATCACCATGAGGTAAAACAGCATGACTTATTTTCCAGTATGACCCTGAGAAATTCAAATAGGATTCGGTCAAAACAGGATGCAGTAAGCAAACCAGCAGAAACTAGTAGACACCAACAAAAACACCCTCTAGTTGCACTCATTGCTCACTATTAAAGACACTCCACCAGCACCATGCCATGACAATGCACCATGGCAATGCAGGGAAGTTACCTTATATGGTCCTGGGAAATCTCTGTCCCTTTTCTGGTAAGTTTGTGAATAATTCATCCCTTAATTAGCATATAATTAAGAGTGGGTATAAATATCATTAGCCGGCATTCCACGATTGCTACTCTGGGCCACTCTTCCTTTGGGATAGCCCTGTTCTGTCTATGGAGCAGCCATTTTGCTGCACACTGTTGCTCTACTAAACTTGCTTTCTTTCACAGTTGGCTTGTTCTGGAATTCTTTCCTGAGCAAAGCCAAGAACCCTCCCAGGCAGAGCCCCAATTTTGAGGTTAGCCTGCATCAATCACACAGTACTTTAGTTCAAAATGAATGTGCATGTGTATGTATACATACATAAACACACATATATGATACATATATAAACACATATATGTATATAAATATGTACACACATGCACATATATGTATTTGAATGTATTTGTAAAAAGTGACACAAAAACATTACTTGATATATTTTAGTTACATGTAGTTCAAAAATTGGAACACCCCAACAACTGACAGTTCAATAGAAAAACCAAACAATTTTGCTTCTAGGAATGAGAGGGGATGGGGGACAGAGTGAGGGTGATCAATGGTTACAAAATACAGTTAAATAGGAGATATAGTTCTGGTGCTCAATTGCACAGTAGGGTAACCAGTTGGCAGTAATTTATTGTATATTTCAAAATAGATGGAAGGGAGAATTTTTAATGTTTTCATCACCAAAAAATGACAAATGTTTAGGGTGATAGATTTGCTACTGATCCTGATTTGATCATTATACAATGCAGACACATAGCGAAATATCTACAATTATATATGAATTAAAAACAAAATATATGAAAAAAAGAATGAGACAGGAAAGCAAAAGTCATTGTTCTAAATAAAAGTTTTACATTATCTTCAAATTATATCCAATTGCTTCTACACATTCATATACATATATATAAGAATTTATATATGAATATATACAACTTATCAGGCTCTTTTATGGGCCTAATAAGGCATAAGATTAAGACTACATTTTCTAGTCATTCACAGATAGCTACATTCAAATGACTAGTTCTAGTCCGTGAAAAATTTAAGTGATGTAATATGCTTCCTTAATAGTCCCATAAAAACCTCTCATTTGCATTTTTTATCTCTTTTTCATTTTGCAGATAATTTATTGGTCTCCAGTAAAGATATTAGAGCTATAATGGAAGGAAACCAGTATCTCTGAATCATTTCTGGTAGAAATCTTGCCTACAGGAAATGTCTACATTGGACTTTGTATGAACAAGAACTAAGTTGTTTCTGAATTAATACACAGAGATTTTGCTGCAGGGCAGGTGAGCCCCAAAATTAGAGCTTAACTTGGGAGGGTTCTTGGCTTCACCTAGGAAATAGTCCAAGGGTAAGATGGTAGTGTTAGCAACATTTATTGGAGGGGCAATGTACAGGGGCAAAGAGTGCACACTGCTCTTTGCTGAGCAGGGCTACCCCATAGTGTGCCCAGAACAGCAGCTCAGAGGCAGTTCTGCAGTTACATTTACAACCACCTTTAATCACACGCAAATTAAGGGGTGAATTATTTAGAATGTTATAGAAAACAGTGGTACTTTTTGATCATTGCCATGGAAAGGGGTGGTAGGTTTTTGGTATTGCCATGGCAATGGTAACTGACATGGTACTGGTGATTATGTCTTAGGGAGAGGGGCTTTTGCCTCTTCCCTGTTTCTGGTAATCTTCAGTCTGGTCCAACATTAAGTCTCTGCCTCTGGAGTCAAGTCCCACCTCCTACTTAATTTGGTGTAGTTCATTACAACAGAATGAATTTTTACTCTAATTATGACAGCATTCATCCTAATAATTTTCTAAGTATATTAAAGCAAATGAAAACTCTGCTACTCCTCAGAATCTGCAAAGGGATTGTTGCTCTGGAAATATTTTGGTTTTGAATTGATACATTAGCCTTTTTCAACAATAATAAAATAAGGAAAAAAATCTATATGCCCTGGGAGTGTATAATGTGTTTTCATTTTTTATGTGAAGGAGAATAAGGGAAAGGTTAAAAAGTTATGGCAGCTTTAAAAAACTTGAAATATAATTACTTAACCAGGAGAGAAAATAAAGGATGGATCTACAAAGCACAGTATACTTTTAAACTGAGGGATTTTTATTTATTTATTTGCTTTTAATTGGGATATTGACTGCCTTGAGGAAAATTGTGGAAAGAAATGATGAGTTATTGTATCTACCAAATTGAAGAATTGCAAAGAGGCGTGAGCCAATTAAAAAAATTAAAAGAAAAGGTTACATAGATTTTAATACTCGATTTTTATGCATTTAATAATAATTGAAGTACTTAGAAAGTCCAAATCTATATTCTGACAGTGCTCCAAATAAGTTTCTAGATGATAAATAATGTGAAATTAAGGTGTTATTTCTGACTCTTGAAACTACTTACAACTCAACTATCCTTCAGCTTTAGTTTGCTAGTTTCTGTTTTTTTCCTTCTTGTAATGGATTTTAATGTCAATTTTAAGTTGATTTCACTTATAGTGAAAAATGTTTTTAAAAAGTTAAGCAAAAATAAATAGAGTGATCTGATAGCTTTCTACAGTGTGTTGTTGGTTTGAACAAATTTTTAGACAATAATTAGTAACTCAATTATAAGGAAAACAAAATTACTTACAAGTAGATAAATTCACTGTTTAAGTAAAAGTTATAACATCAAACAATTTTAATATTAATATAAACTCAAAGATTCACTGACCACCTATTGGTTTTTACAGAATACAATATAGATAATATTATGATGTACAATGCCAATTAGCTGTTTCCAAAAAATTAAACTAGGATATGCACACCCCAAATTTGAAAACACAGGCCTGCATTTTGAATGATTATTTTTAAGCTTGAAGTCAAATATTCATTATTTGTTAACTATAGAATACACTTCTTATTTGTGATACTTATTTTAGAAAATGAAAGGGTGCCCATTAAACAAAATTATTAGGGGCTATTTTATCTATTGTATTCTCAATTTACTTGGGATGTCAGCACATATTTAATATGCCACTACTCTAGAAGTAATCAATTTCTTGTTCTCAAAGTAAAAGTTTTTAGAAAGAGGTGAATACCATCACATTTCAGGAGGGAAGTTTGTCATTAAATGCCTCTATGAACTGTGTTTGGGACAATGCATCAAGATATCCAAATCGCAGTGTAACTGATAAAGCTGTCCTGTTCTGGTTCTTATTTGTGGAGCCACAGATTCTTGACTTACTCTTGACTCATTTGATATTATTAATGATTTTTAAAACATAATAAAGTGAAAGTCACTTTGCTTTCATTTCTGTCACCTTTTACTCCTGAACTCTTCTTCCCCAATACCTGTAGTAAATAACAGATCATTAAATTTTGGAAATTGAATACTGGAGGGTAAAACCAGAAAGGAGTTATTACTCTTGCACCTTCACTTACAATATAATAATGTACCTTACATTTTGTCAGAGCATAATATCACAAAGTCATCGTAGGAACCAAACTAATCCTCTTCAAAAGGGTTAATCATGTATTATGACACTATAAAATATTTTTAAGTTATTTAAATTTAGCAAAATTTTGTGTGTTCTGTATGAATGTAAATAATACATATTTTTCATGTGAACTCTGAATTTTACCTTCAGAAGAGTTTTAAAACCCACTTAAAATTAACTTCCTTGAGTTGTGCTGGTTCCTCTTAGGAATTCAGGGTCAGGGGAGTAAGGGCATCAGAATATGGTGATACTCCACCCCAACCCCATAATAAGCCACTTAGTAAGTCCAAGTTTCCATCTCTTTCACAGACACTTCTAAAGCAGCACTATCCTATTATAAGACTAATTGAAAAGAATACCTACCAAGGTTTTGTGTGAAATGTTTGAGTAGTATATCTGATTTCATTGTTAAATCATAGAAGCTCATGAATAGCACCCATGTATTTTACATTATTTTCTAACATGTGTCCTTAACTAATTCTTTCCAGAGTTTCTGTATATATGAAATATTTTCAGTATTTAACTGATAAATGACATGGTATTTCTCTAACACCCAGAAACCATATACAGATTTGGGTTAAAATACTTTTCCTCACAATCTGAAGGTAACTTCCCTATCCTATTCAGCACTGTCAAGGAGAATCTAAGATCAATCTAATTTTCATCCCTTCATAATTAACATTTTTTTCTTTTTTGAGAATTACATAGGTTTTCTTTTTTTAATATTTTTATTTTTTCTGTTCATGAATATATCCTACTTTTTGGTTATTTACTATGCACTGTGCTAATCAATCATAGGACCCTTTTTTTTAGGCTGAAAACTCTTATTTTACTTTTGTGGTAAAAAATTGTTTCTGCTATTCCTTAAATTATTTTTTCCTCCACTGTTTTTGATATCTGGAATTCTTCATGGAGTTGATCCTTTTAGACCATGTCCCATGTCTTTTAATTTCTTTTTGTTTCATTTCCCCCACAAAAATAATGCTGCATTCTAGGAATATTTCTCAATATTCCTGTCAAGGGAATTTTAAACTATGTCATTTCTGCTACGTAGGCTATGTATTGAATTAATTTTAATTTTAGAAAATTGTACATGGATGCATTATTTTCTTATAACTTTGTGAGGATTTAAACTGTTGAACTTTTATATTTTGCTTTTTTATAAATTTGAGTATCTATTCTTATATATTATGTTTGAATGCTGATTTCAGTACTTCTCTTTAAGGATATTATTTTTTAATTCAAAAATATTGTTATTTTTAAAAATTTGGGCACTGAAATATGCATTTGAGACTATCATCTAAAGATCTTTTTGTAGAGACTGCATTCCAATGGAGGATCAGGTTTTAGCTTGAAGTATAACTTTTTTATCTTTGACCTGTTGATTTCATGAGGCATTTATATCAAAAATAATTCTAAGAATAATTCCAAGGGTTTTTAAATTGAATTAGATATATTCAGTCACCCACACAGATAAATTAACATTTGCTAATAAATAATCTCAGAAAAAAATCTGAAAAAAAATTGATGAGAATATTAAAAGCAAGGCTGTTGTAATCAAAGTGTTTAAGCATGGATTAGGGAATTGTGATGATGCTTAGGACAGCTCATTTATATTCTGGGGTATGGGGAAAATAATAATTATATTTCAAGGGTAAATGGTAATTAGAAATAAACAGTAAGCAATAATGCCAAATTTATAATAAAATGAAGAAGGAAAAATAAGGCCATGGAGAATAAATAGAAAAACAATACACTTTTTAGAATAAAATTAGGAGGCAGATGGGAAAAGAAAATGAAAATGGAAAAAGTCCATTATTGCCATAGTGCAGTCAGTAGAAAAGGAAATAGGAACAAGAACACAGAGTTTGAAAAAACTGTTAGTAATGATGGAATATTGCACCATCTCTACTGAGTAAAATTGAAAACTAAAAAACGTAAGGATGATTACATTTTTTCCTATTAGAGTTCCAAAACAAAAACTGTTTGTAAGTATAAAATCTTCTACCTTTCCAATAAAAGTTGGGATCTGCTGAAATAAAAACATTATGCAAATATTTATAAAATTTGCCTAGAGGATTATCTGAAATTAATTAACTTAAAATTAAGTGAGGTACAGTTGGTAACAACCAAATTTTATTTGAAATATATTGACATGGAGAACTACTAATCATATAAATTGCCTAGAAAGGAAAAAAGAGACACATGTTGGGATAGGATTGTTTGAATAGTATTTTTAAGCCATATATGTTCAGAGAGGTGAAAGAAATACACTGAATAATTTAAAATACTTAAAAGTAATTTAGCTTTTCTACTGGAATCTATAGGAATAATATAAGGCACAAAGTTGCTTGAACATTCTTAATAAATCATTTTTGTTTTTTATATCACAATGATTTAACTTTCCGTAATTTTTGGTTACAACATAGCCATATTTTCCATGATATAAAAGAGTCAATTACAAATTATCGAATTTTCCTTGTACTATCAAGCAAGT
Organism: Homo sapiens; assembly: GCF_000001405.40. Taxonomy (NCBI): domain Eukaryota; kingdom Metazoa; phylum Chordata; class Mammalia; order Primates; family Hominidae; genus Homo; species Homo sapiens. Next base: position 193,177,510 of record NC_000002.12, on the reverse strand, counting down.
AATTTGATTTAAAAAATATGCCATGTCTTTTTCAAAATAAATGCATGGTTTTTAAACTTAAAAGGTCTTTTAAACCCTTCAATAATATTATTAAACATGTTTATTTAAACATAAACAATTGGATGACAAAAACAAGTAAATTCACTCATCCATAATTCAATAGTAAGAACCAAATCAAATTTGTTTTATTTTATAAACATTTTATGTGTTACATTCAGAATAATATGTGCTTAAATGCTACATGTGATATAGTATATTTCAATATATTAAATCAAATATATGGAACAGATTTTATTTAGCATAGAATGAAAGACAGTAATAGAATAACATTAGCAAACAGGGAGCATTCTACTTCAAAGTAGTGCAATTTACTGAAATAGTAAAAATGTTTCACTAAGGTATTTCTACATCCTATTTTTCAGCCAAATGTAAATAGAAAAATACGTGTAGAGTGCCTCATTTTGTGTTGTATAATTTATTTTCTTTATAAATATATGTAGGACATATATATTTATATACCACCTTTAAATAAAACAAGGTTGCTGAGATAAAATCAGAAAATAGAGCAAGCTAAAGTGTAGTGTAAAAAAGTAATACATACAAAGAGGGAACAAGCAAGAGCAAGACACTAAAAATGAGATAGATTTGAAGCTAATTAAAATGCATTTTTATAAACCATATACTTGTAAAGGGTAAATAACAAATTTAAATCTGACAGATCTAGTAAAAAGAAAAGAAAAACACAATTCCTTAAATGTTGAAGATTATTAATTACTCTGATGAAGAATGATTTCCTTATAATAATGCCAGAAACATATTTCAGTCACATAATTCCATAGCGAAGTAATGAACATATTCTTAACAATGCCCCCATATTTACAGGAGGAAGAAAGGAAAAAAGGGAACTTCACTCCTTATTATTGCACTTCAAGATATATATTCCAGAGACATTTTAGATAACCACAAGGGATCACTCACAGAACTATTTTTTATTATTTTTATGTTTTCTTGTTTTTGTTATCGCTTTTGTTTTGTGTAGGCAGTTAGTTGATACAAGATGTACACGGGAAGATGGAGAAATAGCAGGGGAACTTCTATAAAAATGCATTGCCAGACATTATTTAGAAATAATGAACACAAAAACATTGTCTTAAAAGTATCATGTGGAAATGTAAAAGCAGAAAGTAATTTACAATTTTAGTACAATAGAATTTAATAAAATAATACGTTTATCAGAGTGTATAAATAGTCACATGTCAAACATACTTATGAATCCTAGGAAAGGGGCAAACAAAAAGAATAAAAATTTAGAAATGAGGGTAAAAAGTAACTGAGCATATGTTGTATATATAAAAACATATATAATAATGTTTTATTTGTTTGTATGATAAACACCTATTTTTACAATAATGAAACCTTAGTATAGCAACCACAGAATACATAAGTTTTGGAAATGCTCCTTCTCAGTATGCATGTACAATAAATTATTTATTAAAATTGGGTGGATTAACTGAAATAAGGAAGATTGGAACAACAAGCCTAGTTAATTTGCATAATATTTAAAAACTAGAAATTGTCTCCACCTCCTCTTTCTGACAATAAGAATAAGTTAGTGAGGACGTTTGCCTGTAAAGCATACTTCTTTATCATGAAAATAAAATGAGTAATTTGAGAATGCTTGAACTTCAGTTTTGTACTGGAGAATGACAAATTATGTGGTCTACATAAAATGCAAGATATGCATATGTATGTATACACACACAAATACATACATACATATAAATGCAAGTAAAAAATATGTCTAAAACGTAGTAAAAAAGAGATGGAAGATGTGGTTATGTGTTAAATATTATTATTTATTGTGAAAATAGTAAATATTTTGTGGAGAATAAATAAGCACTTTCTAAATTTAACAAATGAAGAGTAAAATTATATTACAATTATTGTGAATTATAGAAATAATCATGAAGTTTATAAACAGAAATATTTGAAAAAGATTGAATTTGAAAACCTCAAATGAGTGTAGTCTGGTAAGATGAAGGAATATAGCGCATTAGGGAGTTTTCTATTCATGATTTGTTTAGCTTGAGATTTTAACTTTACCAAATGAATAAAATTACGTGAAGTTTGGACCTAGGATTCATGGGATTAAGTCTAGTGAACATAATCTGCAGAGCTGAAGATTAAGCTTTTCAAATCGACCTAATAAGCAGAAATGGTCCCTGCCACATAAACTTGTAGTAGCTAAAGTTTCCCCAACTGTGTTCCACGAAAAAAATTAAGAAATATATGAACAAATGAAAAGCTATAAGGCCTGCAGTGCTGTTTTTGGTTATTTAATACATAGCGTCATGTAACTTCCTAAATTCATTTTTGTCAACTAGTGCAATGCATCTCTTGGAAGTAACTGTAATAATTTGTGTGTCATTCTGTGCCTTCTTTTGTAAGTCTTTGCTCATCCTGACAAGTGAGACTTAAAGATACTGTCAATAAATGAACAACAAATATCATGGAACAAAAACATGCAACAAATATTGTAAAACTTATAATTATGAAATAATTATAATTGCTGATAGGCAGAATGGCAAAAATAGCAAAATGGTCTATAGTGGCAACATTATGCGGAAACATTTTAGTAAAACCCTGAGATTCTTTGCCATGAATTCAGTTGTCCTCAAGCCAAGGAGAGGTACTGTACTCACATGCAGTTGGTAGAACATCATAATTGGGAGGACTGGGGAGAGTTATTTATGAAACGTGGTGAAAGGAATCAAGGATACCAAACATTCCGTAGCATTTGTATCAGTCCTTTTCAAAGAATTGTTGCACTCAAATTGTCAATAGTGCCCTGGTGAGAAACTCTGTGTTTAAGCTCCTACTTCTCCATTCGTTATCCTATGAACTTTGAATAACTGTTAATTATAATTTCCATATTTATAGATTAGAAAGTATTGTGTCTGTCTATTTTACAGTGATAATGCAGTATTATCTTTATATACGTAGAATCCTATGAAACAATAGCTTTTGTAAGTTATATCCTTGAATAATATAGAATCAAAAGTAATTTAGTTCTCTTAAACATCTCTCAACTGATATCTTTAATGGCAAAACTACAATTTAAAAATAACTTTAAGAAAACCCATGGAGTTTAATGCATAGTAATTTTTAAAGATATATAATCTCATATAATAAACTGAACATCTACCAGCTTTCTTCCCACATATTACAAAAAGCTCTGTTAAAATTATGGCAAAAAAATCACTTCTTTAAAATAAATATTTGTTGTTGGTTTACAAAACTGTGGCGGAGGTTGCAGTGAGCCGAGATCGCACCATTGCACTCTAGCCTGGGAGACAGAGTGAGATAATTCCGTCCCTCCCCCGCCTCAAAAAACTACTAACCCCAAAAACATAGACATTGTTTTTATGAAAGCAAGAATAAGACACTTCCCTGATAGCTATAAAGTATTGTGAAACCCAGTAAACAATTAAATGCTGTATTTAAAGTGTTTAAGAGCCAAATAAAATTTATAAATTTAGTGTAAATATGCTTCAAAACCGGAAAAAAAATACTGAGGATCTATTTAGACAAGCAAAACTGAGATTGTTCATCACCTACGAACCAGCTTTACTATAACCAGTACTTGAAAGAGTAATAATGAAAAACAAGCAAAGAAACAAAATACAAAACCAAAAGCAGAGGGAAAAACAAAATTGCACTGAGGAGTGAGAGACAATTTTAAAAAGGTGTTTGGTATATATAAAACAATACTAACTGAAAATTGACCCTACAAATAAACAATACAGGCCTTGTGGATTTTAAAATATATACAGTCATCTCTTGATATCCATGGGGGATTTGTTCCAGAACTTCCCACAAATACCAAAATCAGCAGGTCCTCAATTTCATTAAATAAAACGGCATAGCATCACATGACTTCTGTACTTCCTTCCTTGCACTTTAAATTGCCTCTATATTACTTATAATACCTAATACAATGTAAATGCTATATAAATAATTGTTATACTGTATTTTTTAAAATTTGAATGATTTTTATTGTTGTTTTGCTTTTTGTTTTTGTTTTTTCTGATCATTCTTGATCCACGGTTGTGCAAAAGCAACTGTAGACTATAGGTAAAACAATAAAAATATATGTAAAACAGTCTCAGAAATATGTACAAAGAATGTAACAAAGATGATTTTCTATTTTCTAATATTAATGAAATGAATGATTTCCATTTATCCACCTCATAAAAGAATGAAAAATTTAAAAATAAAATGAGAAAATAATAAACTAACTCTTAAAAAGGAAAGCAAAGCACCATTTGACATATACTATTATATTCATAAAACTGAAACTTATAGCTATAAAACTGTAAATCTTTGATATTTATTTATTCTTTCAATAACTATTATAATTTTATTTTTCCAAGCCTTATTAAAGTATAATTGACAAAATTATATATATTTAAGATTTACAATGTAATATTATAATATACACACATATTTTGAAACAATTACCACAATCAAGCTAATTAACATCCATCACTTCACATAGTTACTATTAGTTTGTGTGTGGTAAAAATATTTCAGATCTACACTCTTGGAGACTTTCAAGTAAAGGCATACCATGGAGATATGGCAAGTTTGATTCCAGATCACCATAATAAAGCAAGTATCACAATAAGGACTCATTTTATTTTTTTCTTTGGTTTTTCCCTGAATATAAAAATTTATGTTTACACTATACTGTAGTTGATTAAGTGTGAAATAACATTATGGTTAAGAAAACAATAAACATACTTTGATTTAAAATAAAAACAACAAATATGTGATGTTGTTTTTTTGATAACATTTTATCCACAGTAGAACTTCTTTCAAAATTGGTCTGTCCTCTTGAAACTTGCTGCTGTTTTTACCAAATAAGTTTATGTAATACTCTAAATTTTTTGTTGTCATATTGATAATGTTTACAGCATCCTTTACAGGAGTAAATTCCATCTCAAGAAACCACTTTCTTTGCTCAACCTAAAGATGCAAGTTCTCATCTGTTCAAGTTTTATTACGAGATTGTGAAAACTTAGTCACATCTTCAGGCTCCACTTCTAGTTCTAGTTCTCTTGCTATTTCTACCACATCTGTAGTTACATCCACCACTGAAGTCTTGACGGTTTCAAGGTCATCCTCCATGAGGGTTGGAATCAATTTCTTCTAAACTCCTGCTAATGTTGATATTTTGACATCCTCCATGAATAAAAAATGTTGTTGATATCTAGAATGGTGAATCTTTTCCAAAAGGTTTCTAATTTACTTTGCCTAGATCAAAGGAATCCCTGCCTATTCTAGTCTTACATAGTGTATTTCTCAAATAATAAAACCTAAAGTCAGAATTAGTCTTTGATCCATGGGTTGCAGAATGAATATTGTGTTAGCAGGCAGAAAAACATTAATCTCGTATATCTCCAGCAGAAGTCTTTGCTGACAATATGCATTATCAATGAGCAGTAATATGTTGAAAGAAGCTACTGATTTTCTGAGGAGTAGTTCTCAACAGCGGGCTTAAAATATTCAGGAAATCATGCTGTAAACACATGTACTAACTTCAAGTCTTTTGTGTTCCATTTATAGAGCACAGGCAGAGTGGATTTAATATAAATCTTAAGGGCTGTAGGATTTGCGGAACGGTAAATAAATACAAGCTTCACCTTAAAGTCACCAGCTGCATTTGTTCCTAACAAGAGATTCAGCCTTGTTAGTCTGAAGCCTTCTTCTCTCAGCTCGTCAAAGTCGTTCTCCATTCAGCTTTGTTCCATTGCTGGTGAGGAACTGTGTTCCTTTGGAGGAGGAGAGGCGCTCTGCTTTTTAGAGCTTCCAGTTTTTCTGTTCTGTTTTTTCCCCATCTTTGTGGTTTTATCTACTTTTGGTCTTTGATGATGGTGATGTACAGATGGGTTTTTGGTGTGGATGTCCTTTCTGTTTGTTAGTTTTCCTTCTAACAGACAGGACCCTCAGCTGCAGGTCTGTTGGAATACCCTGCCTTGTGAGGTGTCAGTGTGCCCCTGCTGGGGGTGCCTCCCAGTTAGGCTGCTCGGGGGTCAGGGGTCAGGGACCCACTTGAGGAGGCAGTCTGCCCGTTCTCAGATCTCCAGCTGCGTACTGGGAGAACCACTGCTCTCTTCAAAGCTGTCAGACAGGGACATTTAAGTCTGCAGAGGTTACTGCTGTCTTTTTGTTTGTCTGTGCCCTGCCCCCAGAGGTGGAGCCTACGGAGGCAGGCAGGCCTCCTTGAGCTGTGGTGGGCTCCACCCAGTTCGAGATTCCCAAATGCTTTGTTTACCTAAGCAAGCCTGGGCAATGGCGGACGCCCCTCCCCCAGCCTCACTGCCGCCTTGCAGTTTGATCTCAGACTGCTGTGCTAGCAATCAGCGAGACTCCGTGGGCGTAGGACCCTCCGAGCCAGGTGCGGGATATAATCTCGTGATGCGCCGTTTTTTAAGCCTGTCGGAAAAGCGCAGTATTCAGGTGGGAGTGACCCGATTTTCCAGGTGCCGTCTGTCACCCCTTTCTTTGACTAGGAAAGGGAACTCCCTGACCCCTTGCGCTTCCCAAGTGAGGCAATGCCTCGCTCTGCTTCGGCTCGCGCACGGTGCGCGCACCCACTGACCTGCCCCCACTGTCTGGCACTCCCTAGTGAGATGAACCCGGTACCTCAGATGGAAATGCAGAAATCACCCGTCTTCTGCGTCGCTCACGCTGGGAGCTGTAGACCGGAGCTGTTCCTATTCAGCCATCTTGGCTCCTCCCCCCAATTATTTGTATATTTTAAGTTATCCTGCATATTTCCTATCTCTTGTGTCTTTGTACTGTATTTTGGATAATTTATTTAGCATTTTCTTTTAGTTGACTAATTCTCCAGATTTGTCTAGTTCTCTTTAAAGTTCATTCATTGAGTTGTTAATTTCTGAAAGTCATGTTTTAATATGTTTTTGACATCACTATTTTATGTTTTTGCTAAAACTTCAAATATCTAAAATCTTTGATGACCCAAATTTGCTTTGACAATTTCTCTCACTGTAGTTTTTTTTTTTTTTATGGTGGCTAATTTTCTCATGCCATTGTCATTGTTTGAGTTCATGTGCAGGGTGAAATTTTTTGCCTGCCTGTTATGTTTCTGAAGGTGTAAGACAACATTTCCCAAGGTTTTGATTTCTGCCATCCATGTTACCAAACAATATTAGGGAAACAAAAAACACTGGTCAAGGCAGATGCTGCCTTTACAAATCATATACAAATTTGGAGTCACGTTTCCACTATGTTTTTGTTTTATAAATGTTTTATTTAATATTATACACCTTCAGCTATATAAGTATATGTGTATATGTATATATACATAATATATAAAGTGATTTTATTTTTGAGATCCAAAATTATTATCCATAAGTTGGTATAACAAAAGTGAATCCTTTCACTTCAAAAGCAAACTATTTTTTTTCTACCATTGTCTAGGACCTCCAGTACAATGTTGAATACCACTGATTTTTGCAGAGATTCTTTTAATTTTCTTGGAGTTTATAAAAATAATCTTTATATTTCACCTATAATTAGGATGTTTGCTTGATATTCCTGTTTAAAAAAATACACAAAAATGCTTTGAACATGGTAGTGTCTATTTTTGTTTACTCATATAAACTAGACCTTAAGAGATTGGCCTCTAAGCTATAAAAAGCATTTTTGATTATGTATGCTTCTGAATACATATGTTGTGGGAAGGTGGAGAACCCCTTTCTTTAAAGGCATTTATTATTATATACCTCATCTACTGGAAAAAGTTAGGGACTCTAACTTTCAATTCAAATAAAAGATCAAAGGAAAAAAGATAACGTGTAAGTCAATAAATATGTTCCTTTACAAAACTATTAAGAACCTGCTAATATTCATGAAATTTTTTCATTGTTTTTGCTCACTTAACCATCATGGTCACTATATTATGCTTATTATACAGAAAAGAAAACTGAAGACAAAAATGTAATGCAATTTCCCAGAGTCACACAAATTTTAATATGTTTTAAAGGAACGTAATATTCATACAAATAGCCAAAAGTTCAGAATTCTAGAGATTAAAATTGTCATCTAGTTCATTTAATTGCCATGAATATTGTGGCCTAAATGTTTTATGTGATCTTCAACTTGATACACACAAACACACACACACACATCCTAAATTATGCTTTAATCATGATTTGTGTATATGCAGATTTCTTTAACAAATGACATTTTGCATAAAGAATAATTATTGAAGCCTCCATTTCCCAAGCCCAAAGTGATATGATTAACTGTCAACCTTCTATCTAATAAGAAATTAGTCCTGTCATTTGACAATTATTACAATGAATCCAAGCACTCTCCCTAAAATTAAATTTTAAAACTCCAGAAATTGTCCCTCAGAAATTCTATCTCTATATTTTTAAAGTCAAATATTTTTCATATTACTTAAATTTCTTATGCGTTTAAGCTTCAATGTTATTCATTGGACAAAATGATTATAATTATGTAGTATATGCTTTATATGCTTGGAGTAAATGGATTTTCAAGGAAGAATAATAATTCCAGTCACTTTTTAAAAAGATGAATGAGACGATATAACTAACTATGGAACTTTATGTATAGAAGTAATGCAGAAATGTCATTCAGTTCTTCTCCTGTTTATATGTACTAATATGAGGCATAAACATATTAAATCTGCCCATAATTACCACAGATAGTTATATTTGAAAATTAAGATGCTTAATGTAGAAGAAAATTAAGACTACTCAAAAAAACCAACTTTCTTGTGATTGAAACCAGAGAATATTCCCTCTTCATACCATTGTCAATGAACGCATATTTTACATTGAAAACAGATAGTATTTTAAAATATTCAAGGCTCATAAAATTAGAAAAATCTAGAGCCAAGTTCAAACACTTTTACCTACAAATTGTGTAATTTTGATACATTGTATTACTTTTACATGCCTTGTATGCCTTTGCTTTAAAATATATATAATGATAATGAATGTTGTGATAATTTATTGAGTCAAGCTTTGTAAAGAGCCCAAGAATGTGGGCCTTCAGCAATTTTGTTTCACCTTCTATGTATTTTACTATGGTATTTTTCTCACATGGTATTCTATATTCTACCCTCATGTTTTCCATATTCAACAGGTTTTGTGTCATGATACTATCAATTCTCCTTTTTCTGTTTTAATTCTAATTTTTCCTGTGTTATTTATTTTATTTAACATATATTACAGGAAGAAAATTTAAAGAAAACTGAAGCCACTTTAAATAATATTTTGATCTTGTTTTATTCAGACTTTCATTCACTACATTGTGCTTAGAAACTCTTTGCCGAGTTAAATGGACTGGAAAGTATTAAAGTCAGACCAAATGCTAATAACCCTGTTTAGAGAAAACAAATACTGTTACCCTTTGTTCAGATCAAATATAAAATCAATTTACACAGAGTCTTGAAGCAGATCCCACTGGTAAAGTCATGCTAAAATGTCTACTTTCTATGTTACTAGTATATATTGCTTATAAAAATAATACATTATCTATATGCAATTGTTTAATTATATGTTATCTGGAAGTCATTCATATTTGGAAGCCATTTTCCAGATTTCCAATAGGAAAAAGTGCAAAAACTTATAGATTAAAAAGAAAATTGTTATTAGGAATTTGTCTCCATAATATTTAATCTATCAGTATGATTATAATCAGGAGCTTAATCTAAATGGAATATAGAAAATCAAAGAGAAAGCCTTGGGTTACACACTTCTGTTACTTGGAAATTCTGTTACAAAAAATACTTGTTCTTTTTTCTCAAATAGTTGTTGCGTATTAAGTTTACTAAACTGAAATTTTAGTCACCCTTTGGTTATTGTTCCTATGTCTGCTGAAGAGTAACATACTCCTCAGATTAAAATAGCTTGGCTATTATTAAACAAAATCTGATTTTAGGAAAGGTGTGAAATACCTTTAATATATATGAAAATTTAGCACCAAATATCAGCAAGTAACAAGGTAAACTATTAGTTATATATGATGTCCTATTTTCTTTTCTTCTTCTTCTTTTTTTTTTTTTTTCTTGTCAGAGTCTCCCACTGTCACCTGGGCTGGAGTGCAATGGCACCATCTCTGCTCACTGCAACCTCTGCCTCCTGGGTTCAAGCGATTCTCCTGCCTCAGCCTCCTGAATAGCTGGGATTACAGGTACCTGCCACCAGCCTGGCTAATTTTTTTGAATTTTTAGTAGAGACAGGGTTTCATTATTTTGGCCAGGCTGGTCTTGAACTCCTGACCTCATCATCCATGCCCCTCGGCCTTCCAAAGTGCTGGGATTACAGATGAGAGCCACTGTGCCCAGCCTATTATGTCCTATTTTTGAATGCCAGATAAACATATCCCAATTTCAACTTCCGTCAGTAAGTGTATCAAATTTTTCGAAAATAATATTTTAATCGTGTGTTAGTACATAATCTATATCTGGAAAACTCATAAGCTCTTCTTTTATTTTAAAGAATACTTGCATAAAATAGAAGGTGTTTATAATGACTAGTTTCTAAAGATGGTCCTCAGTTTGTCCTATGCTGATACATGTTTATCAACTGACTTTCCAAAATCTTAGAAAATAAATTTAAAATCCCTAATACATTGTGTTTGCTGATTTGTCTGGTGTAAATGTTCCATATGATATCCTGAACAAGGAATTGTGAAGATATATGCATAATAATTTCTCAAGATCCTATATGTATATTTGTTTTCTAACTCATTTAATGAACAGTGTAATTAATGCTGGTGGATTCATTTCATGTTGCATGGAATTTTACTGGCTTAAAGTAAGAATGCTACAGCTCCAATACTTATTGGCTGCTTAAATTGATATACACATTTGCGTAAATAAGAGAATTACCAAGGACTTTTTACAATTATATTTACATGGTTAACGAGATTTTAAATGAGTTTCATTGCCAATTATCTCTAGAGGAACAATATTTTAATGTGTCACTTTGAATAAAGCTTTTTCAGAAACAGTTATACACTGCATTCTCCAGTAATTATGGTTTAAAATTAACATTAATACTTAATCATAGTTTTGTAAATTACAGCAGCAGCAAACACATGCTACAAGACATTAGAGATTAGTGATTAGATGATTGATTACATTGATTTCATTAGAGACTTGCCATTTTTCACCTATTTTAGCATCATCTCAATCTCTCTCTATTCTAGGGTTCTAATCATAGAATAATTATTGTGTTTTCTTTTAATCTTTAAAGAGATTAATATAACTTCAAGTATTCAAATTAGATCAGGGAAACAATTCTAGATTCCCATCTTTCATATAGTATCATTTTTTTCTTGAAACCATTTTTGATATCCAGACTGTATTACTCAATCTGCTCTAAATATTAAAAATAACAAAGGTTTTACATATGTAATTAGGAATTTATAAGACTTGGCAGACCTGAAGGAGAAAAATGAGAGAATCCAACACTGACGTCCTCAGTTTAAAACACTGAAATAGATAATTTTCAAAAGCCAGAAAGTCACTGGCATTTTTTTATCATTTTATTTTGGAATAAGTTTAGACTTACAGAAAAGTTATAAAAATAATACCAATAGTACAGAATTCCTTCTCACAGCTTCTACTAATGTTAACATTTTGCATAACCATTGTATAATTATTAAAACAAGGAAATTAACACTGACACAGTACTACTAATCTATAGATTTTATTCAAATTTTACCAGTTTCTCACTAATGCTTTTTATTTTCTAATCCAGAGTCTATTCCAAGTTTCCACATCACATTAGTGTTGCCATGTCTCCTCAATCTCCTCCACTCATTACATATCTTCAGATTCTTTTTCCTTTGTCTTTGAGTCATTGGCAGTTTTAAAAAGCATTGGCAGAATGTCTGTTAATTTATGATTGCCTGATTTTTACTCATGATTATACTCAGGTAATGCATGGTTGGCCAGAATGCCACAGAAGCAGTGTTGTACTCTTGTCAGTACATCATACCAGTGTTATCACTGGCAAAGCTGTTTGCTACAATTTTGAAGAGTCTTTGAAAAGCAACCACCAACTGCTTCAATTTGCACCAGTGAAATGACTAATTCTCAGGATATCATTAGGAAGCAACTGTTCATTTCACATCTGCCTACACCTAGGCTGTATATGTCTCTAGGAAAAAAACCAGAATTTCTTTCTTTACCTTCCAAAATTGTACACATTTTCTCTCACTGGACTTCTAAGCCAGGGTCATGCAAGTAAGGCAATTTTGGAAAGTGTAGCTTCTACATTTTCTAAGTAATAGAGAGAGAATCTATAATAGGAACCGGTAGTATCCATTTGACAACAGACAAACCAGGGACCCCCAACAAGAAATTTAAAATAGAATATTTTCAGTGTAACTGATAAGACAGTATCAGCAATATAATCAATGTACATTTTTACATTAATAATCTCGATTTTTGAATCAGTTTACAATTTACATAGCATATTTCCAATGTATATTCTTAACTGAATCATTACAATAGCCATGAAATTTAGGTAATAAAGGAAAAAGCTTCCACAATTTTACCAATTAGGAAGATATTATTTACATAATGTACCCAGTAAGTGAAAAAACCTGAAGTTCTTATATTAATTTAGTACCAAATCTAATGAGTTTTCCACTATTTTACACTGTCCTCTAACTCTTGAGACAATAACAATTACTTCATAAAGTCATGTTACAATAATATCTCATTTCTCTTGCCTACTAAATATATATATATATATATATATAAAATTCTCTATATTAGGGATTAAGTCATTTTTAAGAGGTGCAAACCTACAAAAGGGAAACATATTTAAAATAAAAATCACAAGCCCATAGAATAAATGATTTCATTATTTTGTGTTAATAAAAGATAACATATTCTTTTATATTTGAATAAAATGTGTCAAATATATACACGGATGTGTGTATGTAAAGAATAGTTTAATTCTATATAATATTCATGTAATGAGGGTGTATTAGTTCATCTTCACATTGCTATTAAGTTACTACATGCAGCTGGGTAATTTACAAACAAAAGAGATTTAATTGACTCACACTTCCACGTGGCTGTGGAGACCTCGGGAAACTTACAATCATGGTGGAAGGCAAAGGGGGAGCAGGCACCTTCTTCACAAGGCGACAGGAAAAAGAGAGCTAGACAGGGTGAGTGCCACACTTTTAAAACTATCACTTCTCATGCTCCTCATGAGAACTCCCTCACTATCACGAGAACAGCATGGGGTAAACGGCCCCCAGGAACCAATCACTTCCCACCAGCTTCCTCCCTTGACATGTGGGGATTACAATTTGAGATGAGATGTGGGTGGGGACACAGAGTCAAACCATATCAGAGGGAGAGAGAAATAAAATTTTTGGCAACTTTTCTGTCATGTTTATTATTTAGATACAGAAAAGTAATTTATTGGGGGATATTAACTACCATTCTAAAGGGCAAGAGAATCAGGCCCTGAAGCTGTTTCTGCAGAAACAGTAACCAACCATGCCTCAGGGACTGCTCTAACCAAATGCTACTGTTTGGCAGAAGATACCAGAACCTCTTCCAGTGCTGCCCTGAAGAAACACACATCTCTGTTCTGGTGCTGCAATGGCCAGAAGACTGATGCCCCTGCATGTGGCTTGCTCCTCACTTTGTTTTTTTCCTGAGTCTGAGTCTTGGATACTCTGCCTGATTGGCTAAACCTGCCTTCTTAGATGGAGGGTAGCCTGGTAAAGGGATTTTTTTTTTTTTTGGCTTCTACCTTTGAATAGTAAAACCCCAAATGCAGAGAGACTATTTTGAAAGAGGCTGAGAGTTTTCAAGTGACCCACATCCCCTGCAATGAGTAAGGACATCCCTGACATAGGTGTAAATTGCTGGGGTGCAGGAGATTGAAGAGTGAGGGGGTTTCAGATACTGGCAGCCAGTGTTTCATGGAGGAGTTAGCCAGTTTGGGGCTATTTCAGACAGAACCCTAAAGATACAGACAGTTTGCTTCTCACCTAGCAAGGTTCCAAGATAAATGCTGGCATTTAGCAGGAAAAAGTAAATGAATAAAAATGATGAACCATCAGGCATAGTGGTCTGACATTTCAAAGTATGCAGAGGGCTTCAGGTAGTTGTCAGCTTCTCAGAGGTATGATAGAATACAAACACTGGAGTTATTAAATGTTTCAATGTGTTGACTTTAAAGCCTCAGGAGTTAAAGAAGTTGCTAATATTATATTATTTAGGAATTTCAATAATTTGTTTTAGTATTAAACTGGTATTAAATGACTTTTTCTTTCATATTAATCATAGTAACAAAAAATTAATGTAAATATGATATTTATTAATATTCTCTCATAAGTCAAATCTATCATTTATAATTACCATGCTTAGAATATTGTGTCACTTGTGGAAGAATATTTTCTACATATCCTCTTTTTCTATGACCTCAGCTGTTTTTAAGTCTCTGTTCATCTTCTGAAATCTATTCCTAAAAAACTTTTCTATCTTCAAAAGTGGAAATCCATTCCGGTTCTCACTTCAAGGTGGAAAACCTTTCTGACCTCCATTACCAGCCTCCAATTTCTGATTACACAGCTCAGCCCTCTCTAGATGAATAGCTCACTCCATCAAACAAGAAGATAGTTCCTTTGTGTTTACTAATCATGAAATTATCCTGGTTCATGTCTTTTCAGCTTGTTTACATGGTAGGTCACTCAGATATCTGTCTTAGATTGTAATCTTTTATAGAAAAAATACTATTCTGACCTGGTACAAAATTAATACAAATCAGACACCTAATTTTTCAGGCAATTAGAGTTACTGGCATATTGTTCTCAATAAGACTCTCACAGCCTTTTGTATACTAAGAATTTTGGAGTTTGAATGGCTTCATAAAGATACTTCACTTTTTGAATAGGTAAAGCATTGTCTTTGATGTGTAACTAATGTGTCTGAAAGGCACCTCTAAAAAGGATCTCTAATCAATTCAGGGCACCTGATTTCTCTTAGCAGAGCACCAATAGCGTGTTCAAGAGTTTCTAAGGGCTGTTAAATGTGATTCCAAGGCAGAATAGTTGTAAGGTCCCTGAACTTATTTAAATGCTGAAAACAAAAAGAGGGCTATTTTGAATCACATGCAAAGAATAAAATAAATGACCTCGACCCTTCAAAAATAGTATATCTTTTTGGATGATGTCTTAATGAGGTAGTGAAGAGGACATTGTACCTAAAACACACAAGAGGTCTATAAGTGCTCACTTCTTAGCATTCCAACAAAAGACGTTTTCTACAAGAGCTGCTCATAATTTTTCCTTTTCCTTTTGTTTTCTCCTTACTCTCTCCTTTTCTTCCACATTTATTTTCTTTTAATTCTGTAACATTCCTCAGGCCTTTCTCCTGTGCATTGATCTGCAAGCATAAAGTTTTGTGGTTTTTTTCCCATAGTTCTCTTCATGTCTTAACCGAGAGCAAAATGAAACCATAATTGGAAGAAAAGAAGATTGTAAATACACACATACACACCCTGGAGGGAATTGTATACAGCCCCTTTATACATAGATTAAAGATTAAACACTTGATGTTCATCCTTCTAGTTTTGCATGAAATCAGATATATCTATATCTATCTATATATATCTATATATCTATATCTATCTATATATATCTATATATCTATATCTATCTATATATATCTATATATCTATATCTATCTATATATATCTATATATCTATAGATATATAAATAGACATATAGATATATATATAGATTACTCATATACTTACTTTTTATTTTATATCACTTATTCCCCATCATGGTACGTCACTGTTTTTCAGCTAATATCAGGAACTATGTTGCAAATATCGATTTAATATGTATAAGAATAGCTTAGAAAGATTCACATTGCTCGTTATTAATTTTTACTTTTAATTTTGTATACTTCCATTGATTTTAAATAGAAGTTTTCAAAATCAGAAAATTGTTTGAATTTAATAATTTTAAGAGCCATTTGTTTTAACTGTTGAAATTGATTCAGAATAACTGCTCCAAATACTTATTTTTTTAAGAAGGCAGTAAATTATTTTAATTTTGCAATATTTTTTACTATATTACATTATTTTCTTTATCTATAAAACGATGATCAAGGTATGCCCACCTAAAGAAATAATGGGAAAAATAGTTAATGAAATTACCTTTTCTTAATATACATTTAAGATAATTTAATCAAACATAGAATTGCAAATGGGCAAAGGCAGAAGTTCTAGAAATTTGCCTGATTATTACAACTAATTGTATTTTTTTTTATTTCTTAGTGTCAATTACTTCTTTGCAGTCTCCACAATGGTTTTTGGATCTAGGATTTACTCTAGATATTTTTTAATTCCCCAGAAAATTTTCATTACCAGTGAGACTTGGTAATTCCTGCCAACAGTGTTGTTCTAGCCTTCTCCCCTCAATCTTCTGACTTGACAGATTTACGAAAGCCTCTCACTGCCTGTGTCCAGTTGCTGCTGAAAATCTTTCTAGGCACTTGCTCCTATTTCTACTGCTCAATCCTATTTTTTCTCTTTCGCTTTGCTGATTCTTCTCTTTGATCCTGTTCTTGCTCTTTGATTGCCCTCTTGGGTCAACACTTCTGACCATCTATTGCTTTCTAATCTATATATATACCTGGAAATTGGGCTTTTATTTTGCAATCAAGGGTCAATCCATTCGCTCCCACACACACCCATAACTCATAGTATAGAAAATGAACCAACCTCTATTTTTAGTTTAGAAGAGTTACTTCACACATCTAGATGAAATTACTGAAAAAAATTGTCCTAATTTTCTGATGTTTTCCCATTTTTAATAAATGTATAGGTTGCTATGACTGAGTGTAGAGATAGAATCTGTGAGGATATGACAAAAGTTAAGTGAGGTCATAAGTGTGGAGCTTTAATTGATAGGGCTGCTGCCCTTTTAACAAGAGGTGACTTATAAACTTGCCTCTCCCCATGCTCCAGGGCACCTAAGCATGCGGCAAGAAGACAATCATCTGAAAGACAGGAAAAGGGCCCTTACCAAGTATTGAAATGGCCGGCACCTAGATCTTGGACTTCTCAACGTTCCAGAACTGTGAGAAACAAATTTTTATTCTTTAAGCCACCCAACTTGTGGTATTTTGTTATGGCAGCCTGAAGGCACTAATACATAGATATTACATGCAATCCTATAATCTGGGAATACTCTGTAATCAGAATTGGTATGAGCCCAGTAAGATCATTTTTTATTTTGAGATTAACTTTTAAAGCCTATGCCATTGTTTGGGTAAACTATCATGCCTTTATTTGGAAGATCAGGCAGATTACATAGCATTTTGTCTGCCTGAAATTCACATGTAAATACCTCATAGGCTGAGATTATACAATTGAATTTTGTATTCTATTTTATAGATAAAAAACGAAGTCAAGATGTGCTTTTATGCAATCTCCAAAAATTGTATTAAGGTCTTATCAATGAATACAATCATTGACCAGTCTCCCTCTGCAGTAGCGTAATAACTGAGGTCAAAATGATAATGCTTAGGAAAGTTATTTCTAAAAATTTAAATATATCCAGTTTTTGTTGATACAACACAGTTAAAATTTGTTGAAAAAGATTATTTCTATTATTTTTTAATATTCATTCATTCATTCTTTAAACATATTTATGGAGTATCTAATACTTGCTTAATATGAAAGTATGCATTGGACACCATCAAGACAAATACAACAATGATCTGTGACCTCAAGGGGTACAGATACTATTGAACAATATTCAAACATGTTTGGAGGGGTGTAGACAGGGCAATAATGAGAGTGCATGAGTCAAGTCCTGAATCCAGAATGTACTTAGCAAAAAGGAAACTAAAAGCAATTAACCATCAATAAGAGAGCAATTTAGACAAAGAAAGTAATTTGTGCAAAGCAATAGAAGGGAGAGAGAACAGTACAGCTATCTACCAGAATGTGACAGGGCAAGGTCAGATATTGGAAGGTAGAATGAAAATTATAAACTTATCAGAAACCAAATTATGGAGGACGGTCCATAACATGCTGAGAAGTCAATGGGGGCAGAGCACGGTAGCTCATATCTGTAAGCTCTGCAGTTTTGAAGGCCAAGGCAGGAGGATCACTTAAGTCCAGGAGTTCCAGACCAGCCTGGACAACATCGCAAGAAGTCCTGAAAAATAATTAAGTTAATGGGGAGATTCTGAAAAGTTTTAAGCAGCAATAGTGTTAGATTTAGATATTATACTATTTACTATGATTGCAGTGTAAAGAACTGATAGCAATGGGATAGTATTGAAAGGAACTGAATCACTCTTGGAGCCATTATAATAGGACAGCTGAAAGTTGATTAGGGCCTTATGTAGGTGAATAACAAAGAGAATGATATAAGTAGTCAGAGTAATGCTCATGATGGAAAAGAAAAGATGCAAAAATCAGTTCGAAGTGTGGCCAGGCGCGGTGTCTCACGCCTGTAATTCCAGCACTTTGGGAGGCTGAGGTGGGTGAATCACTTGAGGTTAGGAGTTCGAGACCAGCCTGGCCAACATGGTGAAACCGCATCTCTACTAAAAATACAAAAATTAGCTGGTGTGGTGGTGTGTGCCTGTAGTCCTAGCTACTCAGGACACTGAGGCAGGAGAATCACTTGAACCCGAAAGGCAGAAATTGCAGTAAGCCAAGGTCATGCCACTGTACTCCAGCCTCGGTGACAGAGCAAGACTCAGTCTCAAAAAAAAAAAAGAATAAAATATGGAAAAGGGGATACTTAATGACTAGGCAACTGTATATGTTGTGGTTTCTCTCTTTAAGATGGGGGAGAAAACATCATGTGCTCAATAATTAATTTTTAATTAACAGATAATTCATACATAATGTATTATAACATTGTAGTCTAATATGTGATATAACAAAATCTAGTATGGTGGTTATAGCATAGTATTTCTTTTTATGACATCTTCCCTGTGAAATCACACTTGTCGTATCTTTTGGTAGGCAAAATAATGCCTCCTTCCCCCCAAAGATGTCTATACCCTAATTCCCAGAATCTGAGAACACTTTACATGGCAAAAGACACTTTGCAGATGTGATTAATGTTAAGGACCTTTGAGGTGGGGACAGTATCCTGAATTGTCCAGGTGAGCCCAAGATAATCACATGAGTCCTTAAAATATGAAGTACCTTTCCCAGCTTGGTCAAAGAGTGATGTGAGTTTAGAAGAGACAGACAAATGTTGCTGGCTTTGAAGATGGAAGAACGAGCCACAAGCAAGATAATGTGGGTTGCCTCCAGGAGCTAGAAAAGACAAGGGAAACGATTTTCCTCTAAAACCTTTGTGTTAGACTGTTCCTGCATTGCTATAAAGAAACACCTGAGGCTGGGTAATTTATAAATAAAAGAGGTATTTTTTGGGGTCACAGTTTTTGGTCACAGCCCACAGTTTGGCAGGCTTTACAGGGAGCAGGGTTCTGGCATCTGCTCGGCTTCTGGGCAGGCCTCAGGAAGCTTACAATGATTGAGAAGGGTGGAAGGGGAGCAGGTGTCTCACATGGCAAGAAGAGGAGCAAGAGAGACAGGAAGAAGATACCACATACTTTTAAACAGCCAGATCTCTCAAGAACTCGTTCACTATCATGAGGAAATCACCAGGAGGATAACACTAAACCATTCATGAGAAATCCACCCCCATGATCCAATTACCTCTTACCAGGACCCACTTCCCACAATGGGGATAACAATTCAGCATGAGATTTAGAAGAAACAAGATCCAAACTATATCAGCTTCCAAAAAGAAACACAGTCCTGAGGACATCTTGACTTTAGCTTGGTGAGATCTGTCAGTACTTATTACCTATAGAACAGTAGAATACTCAGTTTGTGTTTTGTATGCCACCAAGGGTGTGGTAATTTGTTACAACTGTAATAGAAAATGATTACATATTTTTATACTAAGAGTGAGGTGCTGCTGTAACAATTGCCAAAAAAATGTGTGAATGGTTTTGCAGTCAGACATTACAAAAATTTAGAATAATTTGTAGAGTATAATGAAAAAGAAAAACTAGATTGCCTTGAACAGTTAGCAGAATTATGGTTTGTAAAGTCTCTGTTCTTAAAGTGTTAGAGGTGAGAAGCTTAACAGAGAAAGGCTAAATTACCTTAGAGTATGGATAAATCATCATGAACAGGCCATTGAAAAAGCCTGAAATCTTAAGAACATTGCTGATGAGGGTCAGAAGGAAATGAGAATCATGTTATTGGAAATTGGAAGAAGAGAGACTTGCTTGACAGTGGTAGAAAGCTTAGCAGAATTGTATCTTGTATTATGTGGATAGCAGAAACTATCAAAGATAAACTTCCATACTTAGCTAAGAAAATTTCTGAAGAAACTATTGAAGGTGTGGTCTGGTTTCTTCTTTCTGTTTAGAGTAAAATGTAAAGAAAAAATAGTTAAATAGTTTAAAAAAAAAGTAAAGTATTGTTAAACAGAAAGGAAATAAAGCTAGATGTCTGGGAAATTATCAGCCCATCCAAATTATAAAACATGTTAAAATTAAGAGATTTACTGACAGGAATGCATGCTCCAGAGAAAAAGCCAAGATTGCATTATATTAAATTTTACTAATATCTCAGAAAAATCAAAATATCAAGGTGTTCAGTCACACAAAAGGCTCTTTGAAGGGATTAAGGGTGTGACTCACAGATCCCCTCAATCAAACCACAGAGCACCTAGGAAACTTTACAGCCTTACCTTTTCTGTCTCCCTTGTGGGGGCCCCGACTTTTCTTCATACTGTCAGGGATTCCCAAGGGCTCTCTTTGATCCTCTGTTCTCTGTACTTCAATGGCCCTAGATGATTTCATCCAAATTTTACAGCTTCAACTTCCATTTGTATGCTAGAAGTAAAGGCTCTTATATACCTATATTCTGGGCTCTAGTTCTTTTATAACCAAATATCTACTGTCTGCCTGCAATTGAATTTCTGAAATAAATTACAAATCAAGGCCGATAGTGTGCTTTCCATTCCTTCAAACTCCAAAATTAATATTCAATAAAATAAAACAGTTTTAAAACATCAACATCCTAAATAGATCTCATATGCTCCCATTTTTCTTTACCTCACCTAACATTCTGGTAAAACTTACCTCTTATGCTGTCGCATGGAAAACAAAGGTATTCATATATACAGTATTCATATTCACACAAAAATCCCACTTAAAGGTGAAAGTGTGATTGACAATTTCCCATAATGAAAATCCTTCAGGAATGCCCCATGATTCTTAGTACACTGCACAAACACCAAGTAGGCTTGAAGAACACATTGTAGATATAATTATCAAGCTTAATTTCCTGCCATTTCTCCATACTTGTTCCGCAGTCAGGTTTTGCCACATTACAGTTCCTTGAATAATATATTGGATCTCTTTACCTATGCTCATGCTAAACTCTTTGATCTTTTTCCTTTTTAAATAGAGATATCATACCTTGCCTTACCCTCCTCTATACTTACTTCTTTGTGGCAGCCAACTCTACATTTCTTTGCTGTTTCTTTTGCCAAAGATTTCTGAATTTAGCATCTTACATCACACACTCAGGAGAGCTGGGATTTTATCATCTGATTTCCTCTCCTTTAAAGACCATGACATATGGATACATTTTTTAGTTTCCAAGGAGAACTAAGAAAGAGATCAACTCCAGGTCTGTCTGATTCAAACTAGACTTGGAACCACTTCTAGCCTTATATTAGATTCTCCTGGAAGTCCTCAATGATTGAGAAAAGGAGCAGTAATAAAACTGAAGTTGAAAGTGCTAAATTAACCAAATTAAAAAACATTCAAATATTATTTGAATATTTTTATATTCTGTATTTTCAACATTGTAACTATGTAAATGTTCACTGTTAACCGCTTAGTGAACTAAAAATTATGTTTTCTTTCTGATATACCACTTTTTCTTGAAATTAAGTTATATCACTTTAAAGTTTGCTTAGTTTAATACTAAATTCTTCCTTAACACTTAGAAGTAAGACACATTTTAACATAATATTCCACATAATTAACCGTAAGAGGAAATGTTTTGGATTTCAACCATTGTGACCATATTTCCCTTGCCTGTCTCACTCCAAAACCTCTTTGTGGGCATGCTCTGTCTTTTAGATCAGGACTGGACTGATTCCTTTCTGATGTAGTTCTTTTTGCAAGGTATTCCTTTTTCATGCTTTCTATACATGTGCACATAAAAAACATGCTGGTTTTAAATTTCATGGTATGGCAGACTTAAATTTTCTTTTTCCTTTTCAACATAAGAAATATTTTACATATTCAAGTATGTAAATGAACATAACACCACAAATTCTGAATGACAAAGAAACATTTATACTTAGTAAGAATAATGAACAGGAGTTACTTATTTTAAATAGGCAAAATCAAATGCATTCTCAGCAAGGCACATCTTCTCCAAATACAGGTTTAGATTCTTATCTGGAGAAAACATTGGCTTTCAAGTAAAACATGGAAAAAAATCAACTGTAGTTCTCAGGTCAGAACTAGAATTTAAGTTACCTGTAACTTCTTATCAGACTTTCCTCAGAGTCTTCAATGGTTGATGAGAGCCAATAATAACTGAAGGGAGGGGAAACACAAGTGGGTAGCACTTCTTCCAAAAAACTTTTTCTTTCTGTGTAAAGCTACAATTTCCTGGAGAACAAAGGAGAGCATGGCCCTTTGGGAATCTGAATATAATAGGATAAGGAAAAAGAGTGAAATCTGAGGAGTGAAAAAGGACATTTAAGAGATTGGATAAGAAAAATCACTATGTTAAATACTTTACTTAAAATTCGACGTGTTTTATTGATTGAATTTTTATGTCCCCCCAAAAAGATATATGAAGTCTTACCCCCTAGTACTTCATAAGTGATCTTATTTGCAAAGAAGGTCTTTACAGATTACAATGAAATCATTGGGATGGACCCGAATCCAATATGCCTGGTATTCTTATAGAGAGGGGGAATTTGGACACAGAGGCAGACATAGGCAGAAGAAGACTAATCGAAAAGACACGGAGAGAATGCCATGTGATGGCAGAGCACTGAGTGATGCATCCAAGCCAAGGAATGCCAAAGATTGCTGGAAAACCAGCAGCACTGAACTGATTCTCCCTCGCAAGCCTCAGAAGGAACAAATCCTACCAGCATCTTAATTTTAGACTTTTAGCCTCCAGCACTATGAGACAATAAATTTATGTTATTTTAAGCCACTCAATGTGGGCTTTGTTATGGCAGTCTTAGAAAATTAGCGGGGCCTGTAAGTCATCTTCCATTTTGTTGTATGTTGAATTAAGAATCTATCCTATTTTTAAATTCTACCTGATTACTCCATACTTGCAGGTCCACTTCAAAGAGAACTTTGTATAGCATTTGTTTCTAGATTTTTTTGGTGAATACTTTCATAAGTCTAAATACTATGCACAATTTTCTTTAGCTATATTAACTTTAGACAATGTTTACTAGTCCCCTGCTGTGGAAGACAGGTAATTAACACATAATGCCTCCTTTATTCCTTTCCCTCACTCCGAGTCTGTTTTACATATTATGACATTAGTTTTAGTATCAATTCCTTGTAAGCATTCTTGTTCAGACAAGTTCAGGCAGCCTCACGGTGTGTCAGCATTCTTACCTTTTTTTCTACCACTCTTCCACATTTTATGTTGTTTCCACTTTCTGTTAGTTATACATTCCTTTTACATTGTAAAGATTAACATCACTTATAAAGTGATAAAATCTTCTTGGTTTTCCATTTATTGAAAAAAAGTTTAGAATCTATATATCATGCCATTATTATTACTATTGTAATTTTGGAAGTGAAAAATGTAGTAAGAATATCACATTTGGCCAGGTGCGGTGGCTCATGCCTGTAATCCCAGCACTTTGGGAGACCGAGGTGGGCAGATCACAAGGTCAGGAGTTCAAGACCAGCTTGGCCAACATGGTGAAGCCCCATCTCTGCTAAAAATAAAAAAATTAGCCAGGCGTGGTGGCAGGTGCCTGTAATCCCAGCTACTCAGGAGGCTGAGGCAGGAGAATCACTTGAAACTGGAAGGCAGAGGTTGCAGTGAGCCGAGATCGCACCACTACACTCCAGCCTGGGTGACAGAGTGAGACTCCATCTAAAAAAAAAAAAAAAAAAAAAATAATATCACATTTATTTTCCTCTGATTCTCTGATTCCAATGATTTGACAGTTTTACTACCTAGTAGCAGCAGCAGAGTGACTTCAAGGAAACATAAAAAATTATGTTATGTATTTAAGAAAATAAATTTACATTGTATTTAAGAAAATAAATTTACATTGTATTTTACATGTACATTTTAAATTACATATATTTAAGAAAATATATACCGTAATTGTGAGATATACATATACATGTGTGTTGGTAAATGACCTTGGTATTTCTTACACATTTATTTTTCCTAATTTGTAATTGGCTTTGAGTTTTTCTAATTAAAAAATGTTTCTTCAGCATACTCGGCTTCTCAGTCATGGCAAGTACTTTTGGCTTGCTCCCTAAGGCATCCTCCAAAAGCCTTCTAACTTCTTATTCCTATGTGAACTAGTTTTTCTCATGGCCTGCTACACCAATGTCATCTGCATTATTTTTTTTATTACATTACAGTAAGGGTTCATTGTTCTTTACTATATTACATTCATTCTTTTATCTGCCAGTTTGCTTTTCATGACTTTCTTGATTTAATATCAAGCCCTTCCTGGGGTACATCCACAAACAATTTTATCAGAAACTGAGAGGACATGGTCAAAATATCTGAGCCCTTGCATCTCTTAAGTGGTGACATATTGATATGTGATATGTGATATGAAAATATCATACGTGATATGAAATTAACTTGATGGGTTTGGAATTCTGAGTTCAATATTTTCATTCCAATAGAATTTGAAAACACAGATTCATTGTATTCTACCATTCGTTTTTAAATCTGATACAAAATTGACGCTCCTTCCTTTGAAGATAGGATTTGGTAAAAAAGTGTTATTCGCGAACTCTATTTGGAATATGACTACCATGTGTTTAGTTGTGGAATTATTTGTTCATTCTAATTAAATATGAGCGTTCTTTTTCAGACTAAAGACTATTGCTATTCTTCAACTCTGAAATTTACTTTCCCTATAGTTTTCTCTCCTCTCTGTCCTATTTCTGGGATTACATTTACTTCACAGATTTAGATATTTCTCTCTTCCTTTTAGTTCTATATTCTGGGGAAATTATTTTAATTGACAATCTATTGTTCCCTCAGGGTCATTTTATGCTTTACTTTTTTTTCTTGGCATTCTCCTTTTATCCTGATGATAATATTCACATGTTCTAGTCATCCATATTTAACAAAGGAGTAAGATGCTTAAATGAGTTTCTTTACCTGCTCTGTACCTGTCTGCTTACCAAGTATTCCTCTGTGAGTGAAATTTCTCACCTGACTGGGATACCTGGTTACTGGAGAGCACATTTTAACTTAAAGTGAGTTGACTGAAGCTGCTATCAGGCCACAACACTTTCAAGTTAGAGAATGAGTAGGGCTTTACCATGAAACATAAATGTTGAAAACATAAAACATAAAAAACACCTGAGAAGCTGTTATTTCCCCCAGATGGTTATTTCGTAGTTGCTCTCTTTCTTTAATTTTTAAAATTGGTTTACGTACTAGTCAACTGTTCTTTTGTGAAGACTGAAGGA
Organism: Homo sapiens; assembly: GCF_000001405.40. Lineage (NCBI taxonomy): Eukaryota > Metazoa > Chordata > Mammalia > Primates > Hominidae > Homo > Homo sapiens. The sequence continues at coordinate 193,151,669 of NC_000002.12, read as the reverse complement.
AAAATAATAGAAGCTGACAGGCATAGCTGCAACCCTACTTCTTATTCCTGTTCTCTGTTGAAGACTACTTGAGCCGAGTGTGGTGGCTCATGCCTGTCATCCCAAAACTTTGGGATTCTGAAGTAAGAGGATTGCTTGAGCCCAGGAATTCAAGTTACAGTAAGCTATGGTTACACCACTGTATGCTAGCCTGGGTGACAGAGCGAGACCCTGTCTCCTCACTGCACATAAAAAATTGCTTGACCCAGAAACTTTGTAATTCCAGTAAGTTGATTGTCTTTCTACACTCATTTTTTAGAAAAATTCATTGTAAAATACACATAACAAATTTAACCATCTTAACCATTTTTAAGTGTTCAATTCATAAACTACATTCATATTGCTATGCAACCATCACCATCATCTGTCATCTTGCAAAACTTTTTCTTCTTGCAAAACTGAAACTGTATCCATTAAATAGTAACTCCACATTTTCCCAATTCAGTCCGTGGCAACCTCCAATCTGCCTTCTGTCTGTATGAGTTTACCTATTCTAATATTTTCTATAACTGGGATTATAGAATATCTGTCATTTGTGTATGGCTTATTTCATTTAGGCATGATATTTTTAAGGTTCATCCATGCTATAGCATGTGTCAGAACTTTATTTTTTCTATGAATGGATAATATTCCAATATATTTATATACCATAGTTTGTTTATCCATATATCTGTTTAAGGACACTTGGGTTGTTTCTACATTTTGGCTATTGTGAATAATGCGGCTATGAACATGAGTATATAAATAGCTATTGAGACTCTGCTTTCAATTGTTTTGGGTACATAACCAGAACTGGAATAGTTGGAATGTATGGTAATTGTATTCATTTCTATATGACTAAAACTGTTTCCAGTAACCCAGCATTTTACTTGCAATTGCTTGACCATTGCTAATTCTAATTATTTTCCTTCATCCTTATTATTTTTATGCATCTGGTCTATATTCAGGTATAATCTTTGAATAAACAGAATATGGATGTGTTTGCACAATCTACCACTTTAATATCAAACTTTAAAATGTTGTGTCTCAGAAAAGACATATATAATAAATTAGAGAACAAAATTAATAAAGTAAGACATTGGCTTTTTATATATGAGAAGCAAACACATAGGCTTTTAAAAAAAAACAAAAAATACATATATAAGATCTTATTAGTTATTATAATAGTTTTAAATGCACTTTATTATTCAAAGTATTTTTGACTCTCATAAAATTTGCTAATATAAGACAAAGCAGCATGACATTGCATTTACATTGGAGATTTTACTTAGAACTACCCAGCTGTATTAATTATGAGATCTTTGGCAATTGGTATACTCATCCAATTTTCAGTTTTCTCCTTTATAAAATGACAATAAAATGACAGTTCATCAGGTTGTTTAAGAATTGAAACATAGTGTTCATCTAGTTCACATATAAAGTACTTAAACTTTATTTATTTATTTATTTATTTATCTAAAGGTATTGGTGAGTGATCCATGCCAGCATCTAAGACCCCTCAGCTCCCAGCCCAGCATCACCCACCACTGCCAACAAAGTACTTGACATTTAAAACGCACTTAGGCAATGATGTAGGAAAAGCAGCTTAAAGTGATGCAAAATAAATTTCAAAAGTGGAACATATTAAGAATTGGTGAATTATTGCCTTATAATGTCTTGTTTAACAGTATATATGTATATTTCTATATTATTTCTTAAAAGTACACATCTTGATAGAAATCTGAGGAAAAGATATAAACAAGAGAATACACAGTTTCTTAAAAAGCTCATCAAATTATGAAAAAACTTACATTGCTTATAATCTTTTCAATTATTTAAACATGAAGCAATAAAAACTGAAATATCAATTTTCCATACAGAAGCTTTGTGAAATAATTTTTAAAATTGCCTTGAAATAGAAACATGAACAATAAATGTTAATCATCACAACTTCAATCCTCTGAAAAAATGATATGATCTGTTTTCTTAGCATTACCCATCTAGTAGCTTTTTATAAGGATATAATCAGAGACGTACATAAAACATGTAAACATCTTAATTTGAAAAACAAGCTACGTGGTTAAAATATTGAATGAATTTAAGCAAATTTGTATAATAACATATTATTAAAGAAGATTTTAAATAAATGTGTAATAATTCAAGCATAGTTTACTGAGTAATGTCCCCACCCAGGGATGACAAGATCCTAATGCCAAGAACCTGTCCATATGTTAATTTACATGGCAAAGAGACTTTGAAGATATAATTAAATGAAGGATCTTGAAATTGGGAGATTTTCTTGCATTATCTGGGTGGGCCCAATGGTAATCACAAAAGTCCTTGTAAGATAGCGATCACAGGGGCCAGGCGCAGTGGCTCACGCCTGCAATCCCAGCACTTTGGGAGGCTAAGGCCGGCGGACCATGAGGTCAAGAGATTGAGTTCATCCTGACTAACACGGTGAAACACCGTCTCTACTAAAAATACAAAAAAATTAGCCGATGTGGTGGTGGCGGGTGCCTATAGTCCCAGCTATTCGGGAGGCTGAGGCAGGAGAATGGAGTGAACCCAGAAGGTGGAGCTTGCAGTGAGCAGAGATCGCACCGCTGCACTCCAGCCTGGGTGACAGAGCGAGACTCAGTCTCAAAAAAAAAAAAAAAAAAAAAAAAAGATAGCAATCATAGCAATCACAGGGGTTCTTATAGGATAGAGGGAGGAATATCAAAGTCAGAGAAGGGGACATGACAACAGAAACAGAGATGAAAGAGTGAGAAAGCTTTCAAAAGGCTCTGCTGCTGGCTTTGAAGATAGAGGAAGAAACAAGGCAAGGAATGCAGATGTCCTTTAGAATCTAAAAAAATAAATAAATTCTTCCCTAGATCACCCAGAAGAAATTCAGCACTGCTTACTCATTTTATACTTCTTACCTCCAGAACTAAAGATAATAAATTTGTATTGTTTTACCACTAACTTTGTAGTAATTTGTTATAGAAGCAATAGGAAACTAATACACAGGCATATTTGTGTAATATAATTTTGTGAGGAAAGGAGGGAAGAAGCAATGCTTAACCAGGTTGTGTTCTGAAGAAATACAGATATTGGTTCAATTCATAAGACTTTATCATAGTGAGGTGAATGAATACAGGTCTGTTAGTTTTATACCAATGACTCTCCCAGTTATAATTCCAGGCTCAATAAGCAACTTCTGTTTAAGCTTTTGTTTCCCACGCATGTGGGACTACAGGTAAAGAATGACTGAATACTTGGCTGGGTGCGGTGGCTCATGCCTGTAATCCCAGATCTTTGGGAGGCTGAGGTGGGAGGATCATGAGGTCAAGAGATCAAGACCATCCTGGTCAACATGGTGAAACCCCATCCCTACTAAAAATACAAAAATTAGCTGGGCTTGGTGGCACGCGCTTGTAACCCCAGCTACTTGGGAGGCTGGGGCAGGAGAATCGCTTGAACTTGGGAGATGGAGGCTGCAGTGAGCTGAGATCGCATCACTGCACTGCAGCCTGGCGACAGAGCGAGACTCCATCTAAAAAAATAAAAAGAATGACTGAATACTCTAGTAACTACTGGGATTCTTGTGGGAATTATGTATATTTTAGATTATGGTATGTCAATATGTGATGTCTTGTTATAAAGGATAGAATGTATTGATCATGTCAATTACATTACTCAATTACATGTGATAGTTGTATATTTTAAATAATAGATTTGCCCTTTGGAGTCTAAGTCATTTTCTGTATATATTTTCATTACATGAGTCAGTTGCTCATAGCTTTATTTTCTCTATGCAATCAAAACAGTAACCAGCAAGATATTCTGAAAGGAGGCCTGGACCTGAATCTTAGAATCTAATAGATATCTCATTTCTGTATTGAAGATGTTTGCTTAACTTGAAAAATTACTGATTTTTTAATCTCTTATTTCCAACTAACTTCTACATTAATAGTCTGTGCCTTAAAAGTTGATATGTTATTTTTCCGACTTTATTGAGGTATAATTGAATAAAATTTATATATATTTAAGACAGACAACTTGATGTTTTAACATACATATATAGTGAAATGATTACTACTCTCAACCTAATTAACATATCCATTACCTCAATAGTTATCTTTTTTTGTGGTAAGAACATTTAAGATCTACTCTTCTAGCAAATTTCAAGTACACAGAACAGTATTATGAACTATCATCACCATGCTGTACAGTGGATTTCCAGAGTTTATTCATCCAGCATAAATGAAACTTTGCACCCTTTGACCTACATCTTCCTATTTCCTTCATCCCCCAGACCCCGCCAACTATCATTCTACTCTCTGTTTCTAAGAGTTTGACTTTTTAAAATTCCACATATAAGTGAGATTTTGCAATGTATGTCTTTCTGTGCCTGGCTTATTTCACTTAGCCTAATGTCTTTCAGGTTTATCTGTACTATCACAAATGATGGCGTTTCCTTCTTTAAGGCTGAATAATATTCCAGTGTGTATGTGTATGTATTGTGTGTACGTGTATGGTATTTTCTTCATGCATTTGTCCATTGATGGAACATAGATTTATACCATATCTTAACTATTGTGAACAATGCTGTGATAAACATGGGAGTGGGTATATCTCTTTCAGATATGTACTGATTTCATTTCCTTTGGATATATCTCCAGTACTGGGATTGCTGAATCACTTGGTAGTTTTAGTTTTAATTTTTTAAAGAACCATGGGTGTACCAATTTATATTCCTGCCAACAGTATGCAAGGGTTTTCTTTACTCCACATTTCCCCTGACATTTACGTCATGTCTTTTTGATAATAGCCATTCTAACAAGTGTGAGGTAATATCTCACTGTGGTTGTGACTTGCTATTTTCTTGATGATTAGACATGTTAAGCATTTTTTCATATATTTGTTGCTGACAATTTTTGTGTCTTTGCCTCTCTGCCCGTTTTTAATCAGGTTTTTGTTTTGGTTTCATTTTGCTATTAACCCTAACTTTTGTTACCAATGATAATCTGCATTAAAGTAATATCTTTCTCACTAGTACAGTGAAAAAACATGAAAAGTCTAAAAAACCAGGTAAAAATTGCAGAGTTATCTAGTCAGTAGTGATTTAAGAGAGCACTGCAAAACTCTAAATGAGCAAAATTTGGTGAACTGCATTGAAAATGTGATGTGATAGTCATATGAGAAAAAATATGGTTACTTCTTTTTTTTCAGTTTGGAAGTTAATAAAAGAGTTTAACTGACAGAAAATATAAAGACATATAATATAATAGAATTGTATTGAAACTCTACATGAGACAGATGGACCTATTCTGGAGAAATCTAGTTAGAAACAAAGTTTGAGAAATTCAAAGATGATAGATACATACTTTTGAAAATGTCAGCTTCACCAAATACAATTATTAAATCGTCTCACTAGAAAAATACAATCTTTACATAAAAACTTATGTGACATTTCCTGGAAAACAGTTGTTAACCTATAAAATGTAAGTTTAGAATGAAGATTGAAGTGAGACTATGAGATTGAAAAAATAAATGTGACCTGGGAAATAACTTTCAATCATAAAGTCACTATAAAACCAATGTAGACCTCCTAAAATGCACATAAGATATTTGGGAAAAAATAATAAAATTAGAGGAAAGAACAAACTGCATAGTTTTATCATTTAAGATGTTAATAACTCATTCTTTACAGCATCATTTATGTTTAAAATATGTTGCATTAATTTTCACATAATGCTTCCTATTATTTATTTAAATGTATAAGAATAATTTCAGATTTATAGAAAAGTATTAGATTGTAAAGTGTTTCCTGATACCTCTCACTCAGTTTACCCATTCTTAACATCCTGTATTACTATGGAACATTCATCAACATTAAGTAACTGACATTGATATATTATGATTAACTAAATTCAACACTTTATTTGCAGTTCATAGTTTTTTCCTAATAATATCCTAGTTCTGTTCTAGGATTCAACCTATGGTATCATATAGTTGTCATATCTCCCCAGTCTCCTCTGGTCTGTCCTAGTTTCTCAGTCTTTCCTTGTTTTTCACAATCTTGACAGTCTTAGGGAGTAATAGCCAAGTATCCTCTCCCTCTGTCTATGTTTGTTGGTTGTTTTTCTCATGTTTAAGTTGCGGTTATGTGTTTTTGGAAAAAATATTCAGAGGTGAAGTGCCCTTATTGTCTCACTATATCAAGGAAAAATGATTACTTCATGACATTATCAGTAATGTTAACCTTCATCAGTTGGTTAATAGCACAGAAATTAACCAAAGCCACTTGAAAAATGATGTTATGACTCAATATTATAAGGCTAAAGGCAAAGAAACTGTACAAAATCACTTTAGTTTAATTTATTTATAATGGTCATGCAGTCAATAATTCTGAAAATGATTTACATGTAAAATGCATTTGAACAAATAAATAAATGGATAATGGGAGCCAGGTTCCACATTGTCAGACAGAAAGTTATAAAAATAAACCAGAAAGAAAAGTTAGAATAAAGCTGGTGGTAATGAACTAGCATCAGAGACATCACTGTAGTATGAAACTTGTATGACATCCTACAAATTCTGCTATATGTATGCAATAGTATCTATTTTCATTAAGTTAAAAATACTAATTTCTCTCTTGATTTATTAGGTGTCACAGGGGTGTTTAGAAGTGTTTATTTTAGTTTCAAATATTTGCATAATTTTGCAGAGTTTTATTATTGATTTCTAATTTAATTCCACTGGAGTTAGAAAACATACTCAAACTATTAGGGTTCATTGTATGGCCTAAACTATGTTGTACTTTGGACAATGTTCCATGTGCACTTGAAAAGAATGTGTATTCTACTGCTTTTACTGGCATCTTCCAAAATGTCAGTTAGGACAATTTGCTTGATGGTGTTGTTCCACTCTTTCATTTATTAAAATATGGATAATTATTTTTATAGATTTGCCTATCTTTATTATATCAATGTTTGCTTCATTTATTTTGAGGCACTATTACTAGGTTCACAAATTTCAAACATTGTTATGTCTCATTGATGAATTGGGCCCATGATGATTATAATATTATGAAATGTTTTTTTAAACCTTGATAATGTTCTTTGGTCTGAAACAAACACTGATATAAATACAGCTATTTCAGCTCTTCATTTAATAGTGTTACCATAGGTATGACATTTTTACCTTTTATTTTTAAACTGTATATCTATTTATGTTTAAAATGCATATGCTATATGCAGCATGTAGTTGAGTCTTGCTTTTTATTCAATATGAAAATCTGTTTTTTAATTGGGGATATTTAGAACATTTACATGTAATAAGATAATTAATATAGTTGTGTTTGCATCTGAAATCTCAGTATTCTTAGCATTTGTTTCATATTTGCCCCTGTTATTCTTACCTTTAAATTTTTCTGCTTTGTTTTTGGTCAATTGAGTAGGTGTATTTTTTATTATTCTATTTAATACAATTTTTAGGTTATTAGCTGTAACTATTTATATTTTAGTGGTACATTTTCATTTTACATTATTTAAAGTGTACCTTCAAATGATGTTGTACTGCTTTACAAATGGGATAAGAAACTTTAAAAAAGTACATTTCTATTACTTTCCTCCAAGCCTGTATGCTATTGTTTAAGTTAAGCATCAGGTTTTGCTTTAAGACAATTATGAAGGAATTTAAGTAATAAAAATGATCTGATATTTTACCCAATCTATTTATGATTTCCAATGCCTTTTATCCCTTTTGTATAGATGCATATTTTCATCTGGTATCCCTTTCCTAATGCTCTAAAGGCTTCTTTATTATGTATGTATGTATGTATGTATGTATGTATGTATGTATGTATGTATGTATTTATTTTGAGATGGAGTCTTCATCTTGTCACCCAGGCTGGAGTGCAATGGTACGATCTCAGCTCACTGCAACCTCTGCCTCCCAGGTTCAAGCAATTCTCCTGCCTCAGCCTCCCAAGTAGCTGGGATTACAGGCACCTGCCACCATGCCCGGCTAATTTTTTGTATTTTTAGTAGAGACGGAGTTTCACCATGTTGGCCAGGCTGGTCTCAAACTCCTGACCTCAGGTGATCCTCCTGCCACAGCCTCCCAAAGTGCTGGGATTAAAGGCATGAGCCACCGTGCCCTGCCAAAAGGCTTTTTAAAAACATTTCCTGTATTACTGGTCCCTTGGTGATGAATTCTTTCATTGGGTTATTACTCAATATATCTTTATTATGCCTTCTTTACTAAAAGATTGAAGGGGTGGCCTGCCCCTCCACACCTGTGGGTGTTTCTCGCTGGGGGGGACGAGAGTCTGAGAAAAGAAAGAGACACAGAGACAAAGTATAGAGAAAGAAAACTGGGCCCAGGGGACCGGCGCTTAGCATACAGAGGACCCACGCGGGCACCAGTCTCTGAGTTCCCTCAGTATTTACTGATCATTATCTCTACCATCTCAGAGAGGGGGATGTGGCAGGACAATAGGGTATAGTGGGGAGAGTGTCATCAGGAAAACATGTGAACAAATGTCTCTGTGTCATAAACAAGGTTAGAAAATGTGCTGTGCTTTGATGTGCACATACATAAACATATCTGGTGCATTAAAGAGAAGTATTGCTGCCAGCATGTCTCACCTCCAACCTTAAGGCAGTTTTCTCCTATCTCAGTAGATGGAACATACAATTGGGTTTTACACCGAGACACCCCATTGCCCAGGGATGGGCAGGAGACAGATGCCTTCCTCTCATCTCAACTGCAAAGAGGCCTTCCTCTTTTACTAATCCTCCTCAGCACAGACCCTTTACGGGTGTCGGGCTGGGGGACGGTCAGGTCTTTCTCTTCCCAGGAGGCCATATTTCAGACTATCACATGGGGAGAAACCTTGGACAATACCTGGCTTTCCTAGGCAGAGGTCCCTGCGGCCTGGCCTTCCGCAGTGTTTTGTGTCCCTGGGTACTTGAGATTAGGGAGAGGTGGTGACTTTTAACAAGCATGCTGCCTTCAAGCATTTCTTTAACAAAGCACATCCTGCATAGCCCTAAACCCATTAAACCTTGAGTCAACACAGCACATGTTTCTGTGAGCACAGGGTTGGGGGTAGGGTTACAGATTAACAGCATCTCAAGGCAGAAGAATTTTTCTTAATACAAAACAAAATGTAGTCTCTTATGTCTACTTCTTTCTACATAGACACAGTAATAGTCTGATCTCTTTTTCTTTTCCCCACAAAGATATTTTTACTGGGTATAAAAGTATAGTCTTTATTTTAGAACTTATAATATATTAGGCTTTCCTTTAGAACTTTAAAGAAATGGCATCTTATTTTCTAGCTTCCTTTGTTCTAATGAGAAACCTCTTGTCATTCTTTTCTCTGTTTCTCTGTACATAATGTTTTACTACAGTTGCTTTTAAGAATAACTTCTGAGCACTGTTGTTTAAATATGCCAAGTAAGCACATTGATTTAATATGCTTTGGTGCTTCTTTTAGGTTTCTTGTATTGGAGTTTGATCTGTTAGTTTATCATTTTCATCATTTTGGAAAATGTTGGTCATTATTCCTTTAAATATTTTTCTGCCTAACCTCCCTTTTAGGGATGCCAGGTACACCTATGTTAATCTGCTTCCAGTCCCTTGGAGTATTAGTCCATTTTCACATTACTATAAAGAAATTCCTGAGACTGAGTAATTTATAAAGGAAAGAGGTTTAATTGACTCACAGTTCTGTATGGCTGGTGAGGCCTCAGGAAACTTATTAAGTAATTGCAGCTTTTGACATTACTTTTAATGGCAAAAATTGTAATTATTTTTGCACCAACCTAATACAATCCAGTGGAAAGGGAAAAGTCACATCTTACATGGCAGCAGGTGAGAAAGAGCATGTGAGAGGGCAGGAAATACTACCATTTATAAAACCATCAGATCTCATGAGAATTCACTCATTATCATGAGAACAACATAGGAGAAACTGCACCCATAATCCAATCACTTCCTTCCCTCAACACACAGGGATTATAATTTGAGATGAGATTTGGGTGGGGACACAGAGCCAAACCATATCACTTAGCTAAATTATGCTCTTTCAATTGTTTTGACGCATAATATTTGTACACATTTATGGGGTACATGTGATATTCTGATACACGGCACATGCTCTCTCCTGCCTGCTGCCATGTAAAAAGTGCCTTTGCCCCTCCTTAGCCTTCCACCATGATTGTGAGGCCTCTCCAGCCATGTGGAACCATGAGTCCATTAAACCTTGTTTTCTTTATAAATCATCCAGTCCCGGGTATGTCTCTATTAGCTGCATGAGAACAGACTAATACAGTAAATTGGTACCACAGAAAGTGGGGTGCTGCTGTAATGATATGCAAAAATGTGGAAGCTACTTTGGAACTGGGTAACAGGCAGAGGTAGGAACAGTTTGGAGGGCTCAGAAGTAGACAGGAAAATGTGCGAAAGTTTGAAACTTCCTAGAGACTTGTTGAATGGCTTTGACCAAAATGTTGATAGTGTAATGGACAATAAAGTCCAGGCTGAGTTGGTCTCAGATGGAGATGTGGAACTTGTTGGGCACTGGAGTAAAGGTCACTCTTGCTATGCAAAGAGACTGATGGCATTTTGCCACATCCCTAGAGATCTGTGGAACTTTGAACTTGAGAGAGATGAGTTAGGGTATCTGGAAGAAGAAATTTCTAAGTGGCAAAGTGCTCAAGAAGAAGCAGAGCATAGAAGTTGGAAAAATATGCAGCCTGACAATGCAGTAGAAAAGAAAAAGCCATTTTCTGGGAAGAAATTCAAGCCAGCAGCAGAAATTTGCATAAGTAGCAGAAGCCAAACGCAAATCATCACCAAGACAATGGCGAAAATGTCTCCAGGGCTTGTAAGAGACCTTCATGGCAGACCCTCCCATCACAGGCCTAGAGGCCTAAGAAGGAAAAGTGGTTCCTGGTGCTGGGTCCAGGGTCCCCCTGCTATCCGCAGCCTTTGGACTTGGTGCCTTGCATGCTAGCAGCTCCAGCCATGGCTAAAAGGGGTCAAAGTACAGCCCAGGTCATGGCTTCAGAGGGTGCATGCCCCAAGCATTGGCAGCTTCCATGTGGTGTTGAGCCTGAGGATGCACAGAAGTCAAGAATTGAGGTTTGGGAACCTCTACATAGATTTCAGAGGATGTATGGATACGCCTGAATGTCCAGGCAGAGGTGTACTGCAGGGGCAGAGCCCTCATGGAGAACCTCTGCTAGGGCAGTGCAGAAGGGATATGTGGGGTGGGAGTCCTGACACAGAGTCCCCACTAGGGCACTGCCTAGTGGAGCTGTGAGAAGTGGGCCACCATCCTCCAGAACCCAGAATGGTAGATCCACCGGCAGCTTGCACAGCACACCTGGAAAAGCTGTAGACATTCAATGACAGCTTGTGAAAGCAGCCAGGAAGGGGACTGTACTCTGCAAAGCCACAGGAGCAGAGCTCCCCAAGACCATGGGAAGTTACTTCTTGCACCCACGTGCCCTGGATGTGAGACATGGAATCAAAGAAGATCATTTTGGAACTTTAAGGGTTAATGACTGCCTTAACGAATTTCAAACTTGCATAGATCCTGTAGCCCCTTCATTTTGGCCAGTTTTTTTTTTCCCCATTTTGAATTGGGATATTGGGTATATTTACCCAATGCCTGTACCCCCAGTGTATCTAGGAAGTAAGTAATTGGTTTTGATTTTACAGGCTCACAGGCAGAAGGGGCTTGGCTTTTCTTAGATGAGTTTTTGGACTGTGGACTTTTGAGTTAATGATGAAATGAGTTAAGACTTTAGGAAACTGTTGAGAGGGGATGACTTGTATTGATATGTGAGGACACAAGACTTAGGAGGGGCCAGGGTTGAAAAAATATCGTTTGGCTGTGCCTCCACCCAAATTTCATCTTGAATTGTAGCTCTCATAATGCCCATGTGTTGTGGGAGGGACCTAGTAGGAGGTAATTGAATTATGGAGGTGGGTGTTCCCATGCTGTTTTAATGATAGTGAATAAGTCTCACAAGATCTGATGGTTTTATAAAGGGGAGTTCACCTGCGCATGCTCTCTCTTGTCAGCAAGAGTTCAGCAAGAAGTGACTTTGCCCCCACTTAGCATTCTGCCATGACTCTGAGGCCTCCCCAGCCATGTGAAACTGACTCCACTGAAACTCTTTTACTTTATAAATTACCCAGTGTCAGTTATGTCTTTATTAGCAGTGTGAGAACAGACTAATATAACATATTTGTACTCATTAACCAACATCTTTTCATCTCACCCCACTTCACTCTGCCTAGCCTCTGGTAAACATTATTCTAGTATCTATCTCCATGACATCAACTTTTTTAGGTCCAATATATGAGTGAGTACATACGCTATTTGTCTTTTTGTGCCTGGCTTACTTCATGTAACATAATTATCTCCACTACCTTTCGTGTTGCTAAAAATGACAAGATTGCATTCTTTTTTATAGTTTAGTAGTATTTTGTTAGGTATAAATATAATAACACATTTTTCTTAATCCATTCATCCATTAGTGGAAACTGAGATTTATTTAATATTTTAGCTACTGTGGGTAATACTGCAATAAACATGAAGGTACAGATATCCTTTCAATATACTCATTTTCTTTCATTTGGATAAATAGCAAGTAGAGATTTGGTGGATTGTGTGGTAGTAGTTCCAATTTAAGTATTTTGAGGAAAATCCATAGTGTTTTTCATAATGTTTATGCTAATTTACATTTCTGTCAATAGTATACGAGTCCCCTTTCTCTGCATTCTTACCAACATTTGTTATTTTTGGTCTTTTTCATATATCATCTTAATTAGGGTGATGTGATATCCTATTATGGTTGTATTTGTATTTCCCTGATGATTAGCAATATTGAGCATTTTAAAATGTATTTGTTGGCTATTTACACGTCTTCTTTTTATAAATGTTTATTCATGTCCCTTTCCAACTTTTTAATACAAATATTTGTATTCTGGCTGTTGAGTTGAGCTTTTGTGTATTCTGGATATTAGTCCCTTGTTAGATGAATAGTTTGCAAATATATTCTCCCACTCTACAAGTTATCCCTTGACTTTGTTTACTGTTTCCTTTGCTGTGCAGAAACTGTTTTGTTTAATATAGTCACATTTTTCTATTTTCATTTTTGTTGCCTTGGTTTTGATGTCATAGCCATAAAATCATTGTCTAGACCAATGTGCTGAAGAATGTTTTCTATTAATAGTTTCATAGTTTGGAGTTTTAGGTTTAAGTCTTTAATCAATTTTGAGTCCTTTTTGTATATGGTGAGAAATAATATTTTAGTTTAACTCTTCTGAAGATGGACATCCAGCTTTCCCAGCAACATTTATTGAAGACAGTATCATTTCTCCATTGCATGTTTTTGGTGCCTTGGTAAAAAATCAGTTGGCTGTAAATATGTAGACTTATTTCTAGGTTATCTATTCTGTTCTATTGGTATTTGTGTCTATTTTTATACAATTACTATGCTGTTTTGGATACTGTCACTTTGTAGCATATTTTGAATCCAGGTAGTGTGATGTCTCCAGCTTTGTTCTGTTTGGTCATTATTGTTTTGGCTACTCGGGGTCTTTTGTACTTCCATACAAATTTTAAGATTATTATTTCTATTTCTGTGAAAAATGCCTTTGGTATTTTGATAGAGATTATAATGAATCTGTAGATTGCTTTAGAAAGTATAGTTATTTCAACAATAATTCTTCTGATCCATGAGCATAGGATGTTTTTCCATTTGTTTGTGCCCTCTTCAGTTTCTTTCATTTGTGTTTTATAGTTTTTGTTGTAGCAGTCTTTCACCTCCTTGTTTAAATTTATTCCTAGACATTTATTTTGTAGCTATCTTAAATGGGATTACTTTCTTAACTCATTTTATCAGCTAATTTGTTATTAGTGTATAGAAATGCTACTGATTTTTGTATTAGTCCATTTTCATGCTGCTGATAAAGATGTACCCAAGACTTGGCAATTTATAAAAGAAAGGGGACTTACAGTTCCACGTGGCTGGGGAAGCCTCCAAAACATGATGGAAAGTGAAAGGCACATCTCCCATGGTGTCAGACAAGAGAAGAGAGCTTGTGCAGAGAAACTCCTGTTTTTATATAACCATCCTATCTCATGAGACCTACTATCATGAGAACAGCATGGGAAAGACCCACCCCTGTGAGTCAATCACATCCCACCAGGTTCCTCCCACTACAAATGGAAATTCAAGATGAGATATGGGTGGGGAAATAGCCAAACCATATCAATTTTGTATCCTGGAACTTTACTGAATTCATTCTTCAGTTCTAGCAGTTTTTTTGGTGGAGAACTTAGGGTTTTTTTTTAATATATATTATATATTTATAATATCATGTTATCTAGAAAGAGAGAATGCTAAGTTGTAGGCTTTTTATTTCTTTCTCAGATGAAGAAGATACTTGATATGATTCAAGTTTTAAAAATTTGTTGAGACTTCTTTTGCAACCCAATGTATGGTCTATCCTGGAGAAAGCTCCATGAGCTGATGGGAAGAAGGTGTATTGTATCCTTCAGCTATTGTATAAAATGTTCTGTAAATGTCTGTGACGTTCTTGTGGTCCATAATACAGATTAAGCCTGATGTTTGTTCATTTTCTATCTAGATTATCTGTCCAATGCTAAAAGTGGGGTGAAGTCTCCAACTATTATTGCATTGGGGTTTATCTCTCACCTTGGCTGTAACAATATTTGCTTTGTATAATATCTGAGTGCTTTGGGGTTGTGAGCACATACACATTTGTTATATCCTCTTGCTTAATTGTTCCCTTTGTCATTATATAATAATGTTTTTTGTCACTTTTTATGTTTTTAACCTAAAGTCTGTTTTGTCTGACACATGTATAGCTCATATCACATTTTTGTTTTCTGTAGGATATTTCTTCTATCCTTTTACCTTTATTCTATGTGTGTCTTTATAGGTAACATGAGTTTCTCATAAGCAGTATATAGTTGGATCCCCTTTTTTACCCCCATTCAGCCAGTTTATATCTTTTAATTGGGGAATTTAAATTATTTATTTTTAGGGTTATTATTAATAGCTAAGAACTTACTTCTGTCGTTTTGTTAACTGTTTTCTGACTGTATTGTGTATTCTTTGTTTTTATCTTCATCTTTTATTGTTTACCTTTACAGTTTGGTGCATGTTTGTAGTGTTCCTTTTCATGTTGGCAGACATTGTATTTTTCACTTTCCTCTGAAAGTAGCTATACCTTATATAGGCTATGAGTTCAAAGCTAAATTTGATTTGTGGAAATGTAAAACTTAGTAATGTAGTTTGAACTTACTGTGAAAAAGTTCATGCATTATTATTATCAATTAAAATAACCAACTATTATCAAAATAATATTACTTTGAAACTTGCAAAGAAACAAAAATATCCTTTGTCATGACCACTTTCTTTAACTTAAGCACAATAAATTCCACCATTTATCTTTAAATTCTTTATTTCTCTTAATTTTTATTACACCTTCCTTTATTTTATCAAGTAAGAAACAGTTTTTCTTTTTTTTTTGTAATTTTAATTGGCTTGTTTTTCAATGTTTGTATTATTTTGGGCCATTATTCTTTATTAGGGCCATAATACAAAAGTGTTAAAAGATCTTGTAACATTTCTACTGTTTTCTTAAGGATTTTGTATTATTTTTATATCTTAAAATACTTTCAATATGAAAATTACGAAATCATCTTTTATCTTTGCAAACCTATATGTATCTTATGCCAGGTTTCTCAAACTCAGAAATGTTATGAATTTTTATATACTGATACATTATTTATTTGTTTATTTTTGTTAACTGTGTAAGTTACTGTGCATCTCTCATAATCTGATCCAGTAATAGCACTTTAAAACTTGCTTGAAAAACTGGAAGAGAATAAAATGCTTTTCTTATATTGATCAATTTGAAAAGTTTTTATGAGAGATTGACTATGACGAGATCTCCATGACATTGAAGGTAACTTTGAAGAGATGATAATGATTTTACTCATAAAACATACATGCAACATACGCTGAGAAGGACAGTGAGATGTGAGACTTCCAAACTTAGGCTGCAGAACACTTTATATTGATGTATTACTATGTAGAGATTCTAGACAGATGTTACATGTTTTATAAGTAGTAACTCAGAGTTAGAGGATTATCTCAATGATTACATGAAAATCATAGTTTGTATATGTCAAAATAAACCAACTCCATATTATAAATGTAATTAAAACTCTTTTATTAAGCTAAAGATGAAATGTCTGTGAGAAACAGTTCCACTGGCAATGTGATTAATTTTACTTAATTTTTAAACACTGAAAAAACATAATTACAACACTGAGTTAATTTGGAAGTGATTATACCATTTATTATTTGGCAACAAGCAGTTCGAATGTGTTTTTGAATAAATGTAAATCTGTATTAATAAGAAATTCTACAGTTAGAATATTTCTTTGTCATAAGAATACATAAGCTTTACTTAATCAGGGATATGAACTAATTTTGATTGAGCCCTCAAGACAAAGGCTGACAAGGTGTTTGACTCAAATAATCAAAACTCTTGTGCATGCTATATTATTATGCATATTTAAGGGCAATTCTATTGCCTCCTAAAGTTAACAAGTTTTTAATCTAAGTGACATAAGCAACAGGACTGTGGTTCACAAGTATATTCAGAAATGAAGATGACTATGCCAAGCTAACATTCATCACTGCCTCTCAGTATTGATTGCACATTTTTGTTAATCCCATGGAGGGAATTCAAAATGCCTGTTTCATTCCTGATATTATGATTGATTTTTGTCTGAAATAGGATTTGTCTGGTATAAACATATTTTTAAATCTCCTAGATTATCCTAATTTGAAGCCATATTTTACATCTAATTATATATGATGTAGTCACAAAATTACATACTAATTTTAAATGAAAAACACTGATTTTTTTTTAAATTTAAAGTAGCGTGCATTTCTAATTTTACATATAGTATTTTGGCAGAATTTGATTAGTATTTTCTGTTTCTCATCTAAAATTAATAATTATCTCTGACATCTGAAACTTGATTCTAGGTGACTCAAAAATCTCTCTAAGTTGACTATGTTATTTGGGATTATTGTTTCACCTTTTAATAAAATCTACAGTTCACTAATACATATCTCCTTATATTTCTACTGAAGAAATAGATGCATAAGTATAGTACATAAAAGTAAATGCAGAACATAACACTTTAAGTAAATTCTACTTTTTTCTCAGTAGATGATATTTAATAGCTTTGTTAGGTTATAACTGATATAAGTAACTTGCACCTAGTCCAGTATAAAATTTGATAATTTTTAATGTATACATATATGTTGTAAACACACACACACACACACACACACACACACACACACACACCAATATTCATTACATGAGTGAAAAAGGCATACAAATTACAAAAGTCTTCTCATTAGAAGTCATGCAAGGAAGAAGACAATGAAGTGACATTTCTATTGTGCTGGAAAAAAAATGAAGACAACACCAAATTCTATACCAAACAATAATATACTTGTTGAAGGATGGACAAATAAAGCCTGAAGGAATCCATTGCCAGCAGTCCTAAACTGCAGGAAAGATTGAAGAAGAATTTTCAGGCAGAACGAATATGATATAGTAAGGAATATAAATCTATATGAAAAAAATGAGGTGCATTGGAAATTGAATTAAAGAAGGTAAAGTGTGTTTTTTTTTCTAATTTTAAGTCCTCTAGCCCCTCCAAAATTTCTCATTTCCATGTCCTATAATACATAATAAATTGAGAATAACCATGTTATTTTAATATTCAACAATGTATTATGTATTTACACAACATTCAAATGAGAAATTTTGACAACAGCACAGAAATGAGATTAATTGGAGATAATCCATTATAAGGTTCTTATACCATACATGAAATGATAAAATATTATTTGGAATTAGACTCACAGTATTTAGACTGTATATTATAATTCCATATGATTAATGGAGAACATGAATAGAATTAAGAAAAATGCATAAAGCGGCCAAACATTAAAAAGAAATAACATGAATAGAATAGTGAGATAATAGATTTTAATTCAATAATCATTTGAATGTGAATCATTTACATACACAAGTTAAAAGCCAGAGGTGATCAAATAAAATAATAAAAATTAAAAAGTAAGACACAACTATCAGTTGTATACAAGAAACGTTAAATAAAAATACATAAATGGGTAAAAATGAATTATATGGAGAAAAATATACACTAATCATAAGCTGGTTTAGTTATACTAATTTCAGATAAAGCAGATATTAGAACAAAGAATATTCCAAGAATGTAGAACATTACATGATAATAAAAGCGTCAGTTCTCCGAAAAGAGAGATTACTATCATTGCTATATGTATGTACCAACAGAGATTTAAAATATAGGCTATAAAAACTAATAGATCTAGGATGACCAAGAATAAAATGTCACAAATGTTTTAAATCAAGGTAAGAAGAGGGTTTAACCTAAAAGAAAGAGTAAATTTTAAAAAGAGTGAAAGAGGGCATATCACTAATGATACCATTGATATTAAAAGAATAATAAGATAATAAGATAAACAGTTCTATGTTCTTAATTTTGACAATGTAGATGTAATTTGCTTATTTCTGGAAAGACAGAAACCACCAAAAATTACTCAGTATATTACTCAATAACTTAATAATATGAATGGTCATATATCTATTAATAGTGACTGATAAATTTTGACTCTGTGTCCCCACCCAAATCTCATGTTGAATTGTAATTCCCAATGTTGAGGGAGGGACCTGGTATGAGGTAATTGGATCATAGGGTTGGATTTCCTTATTGCTCTTCTTGTGATAATAAATGAGTTCTCATAAAATCTGGTTGTTTAAAAATGTGTAACATGTCCCCATTCTCTCTCTTTCTCTTCTACTCCAACATGTGAAGATTATGTCTGCTTCCCCTTTGCCTTTCACCTTGATTGTAAGTTTCCTGAGGTCTCCCTAGCCATGCCTCCGGCACACCATGCAAAACTGTGAGTCAATTAAACCTCTTCTGTTTATAAATTATCCAGTCTCAGGTGTGTCTTTATAGCAGTATGGAAATGAACAAATACAGAAAATTGGCACAAAGAGTGGGGCACTACTATAATGAGAATCTGAAAATGTGGAACCAACTCTGAAACTGGGTAATTGGCAGAGGTTGGAACAGTTTGGAGGGCTCAGAAGAAGACAGAAGATGAGGGAAAATTTGGAACTTCCTAGAGCCTTGTTGAATGGTTTTGACAAAAATGCGGGTAGCAATATGGACAATAAAGTCCAGGTTTGAGTGGTCTCAGATGGAGATGAGGAACTTATTCGGAACTTGATTAAGGGTCACCCTTGCTATGCTTTAGCAAACAGACTGGCAGCATTATGCCCCTATCCTAGGAATCTGTGGAACTTTGAACTTGAGAGAGATGATTTAAGCTATCTGGCAGCTAAATGTCTAAGGAGCAAAGCATTCAAGATGTGGCCTGGCTGCTTCTAAAAGCCTATCCTCATTTGCATAAACAAATGACATGAAACTAGGACTTGTACTTAAAAGGGAAGCAGAGCATAAAAGTTTGGAAAATTTGCAGCCCAACCATGTGATATTAAAGAAAAACCTGTTTCTTGAAATTTGCATAAGTAAAGAAGAGCCAAATGTTAATAGGCAAGAAAATGGGGAAAATGCCTCTGGGACATTTGAGATACCTTCAAGGAAGCCCCTCTCATCACAGACCTGGAGGCCTAGGAGGAAAAAATGGTTTCCTGAGCCAGGCCCAGAGTCCTGCTGCTCTGTGCAGAATTGGGACATGGTACTCTGGATCCCAGCTGCTCCAGCTCCAGCCATGGCTAAAAGCGGCCAAGGTAAAGTTCAGGCCATTGCTTCAGAGGGTACGAGCCCCAAACCTTGGTGACTTCCATGTGGTGTTGGGCCTGCAGGTGCAGAGAAAGCCAGAGTTGAGGTTTGGAAGCCTCCATCTAGATTTCAAAGGAGGTATAGAAACACCTGAATGTCCAGACAGAAGTCTGTGGCAGGAGTGAAGTCCTCATGGAGAATCTCTACTAGGGCAATTCAGAAGGAAAATGTGGGGTTGGATCCCCCATACGGAGTCTCCACTGGGGCACTGCCTAATGGAGCTGTGAGAGGAGGTCCACCATCCTCTAGGCCCCAGAATTGTAGATCCACTGAAAGCTTGCACCATGCACCTGGAATAGCTGCAGGCACTCTACACCAGCCTGTGAAAGCAGCTGCAGGGGATGTACTCTGCAGAACCACAGGGACAGAGCTGCACAAGGCCTTGGGAGGCCACCCCTTGCATCAGTGTGTCCTAGATATGAGACATGCAGTTAAAGTACGTTATTTTGGAGTTTTAAGATTTAATGATGGCCTTTCTGGATTTCAGACATGTATGGGGTTTGTAGCACCTTTGTTTTGGCCAATTTCTTCTTTTTGAAACAGGGGCATTTACCCAATGCCTGTACCCCCATTGTATATTGAAAGTAACTAACTTGTTTTTGATGTTACCAAAGGGAAAGGGCAGAAGGAACTTGCCTTCTCTCAGATAAAACTTCGAACTTGAACTTTTGAGTTAATACTGGAATGAGTTAAGACTTTGGGGGACTGTTGGGAAGGCATAATTGTGTTTTGAGATGTGAGAAGGATGTGAGATTTGGGAGGGGCCAGGGGCTGAATAACATTGTTTGGCTCTGTATCCCTGCCCAAATCTCATGTTGAATTATAACTCCCAATTTTGGGGGAGGGACCTAGTGGGAGGTGATTGGATCATAGAGGCAGATTTTCCCCCTTGCTGTTCTCATGATAATGAGTGAGTTCTCATAAGATCTGGTTGTTTGAAAGCATGTAGTATTTTCCCCTTTGCTCTCTCTCCTCCTCCACCATGTGAAGTTTGAGCCTGCTACCCCTTTGCATTCTGCCATGACTGTAAGTTTACTGAGGCCTCCCTAGCCATGCTTTATGTACTTCCTGTAGAACTGAGTCAATTAAATCTCTTTTATCCATAAATTACCCAGTCTCAGGTGTGTCTTTATAGGAGACTTTGAACAGACTAATATAGTGATTGAGTTTGTAATTTTATACTTTCCTAACAGAAAACTAAAGGCCCAAATGATTTCAACAGTGAATTCCAACAAACATTTGAAAAACAAATGACAACAGTTCTTCACTTTCTCTCTCAGAAAATAAAAGTAGCACATTTATCAGTTAATTCAGTGAGGCCACTATAACACTGATACCAAACCAGATGAGGGTATTACAAAAGAAAAAGTATGACTTGTCATCTCATTAATGTAGGCTGAAAAATATAAACAAAAATATTAGAAAATTGAATCTGGCAATGTACAAAAAGAAAAATACATAAAAGCTAAGTGTTTTTCTTCCCAGAAGTACATGGCTTTTTCATATTTCAAGACAAAATTCACCACATATCAGATAAAATAACAGTAGAAAAGCACATGATCATCTCCACTGATGCAGAAAAAGCAAATGACAAAATTTAGCATTGTTATGATTAATATTTTAGAAAACTACTAAATAGTTTAGCAACTTCTTTGAACTTATTAAAAATGTCTCTAAAAACTACAGCTACTATTATACTTAAAAGACAGAATGTGTTATTCCTATACTGTCAAGAACAAGGCAAGGATGTCTTTTATCACCACTCATATTCAACATTATATTGGAAGTAATAGCTAGGGTAATAAAATGAAATGAAATAAAAGGCATTTATATTGGAAATAAATAAAATTATTTCACTTCAGGGAAAATACGATTGCCTATGTAGAAAACATTTCAAATAATACACACACACACACACATGCACATACATCCATTAGAATTAATATGCAAGTTTAGCCATGACGTAGTATACACAGTTAAAAGACCTAATACATGGAAAGTCACAACATGTTCATTGACTGAAAGATTCAACGTAGTTAAGGTGTCATTGGTTGCCCAGTTGAACCACAGAGTTAATATAATTTCAGCCAAAATTATAGCAGACTTTTATGAACATAGATAGGCTTATTCAAAATTGTATGTGGAAATCAATGAAATAAGAAGAGACCAAACAATCTTGCAAAATAAGTTGTTAAAATAGCAGTACTGTACACAGTTTTAAAACTTGCCATTAAGTCACAGTTAGAGAATAACCTTGAGTAAAATGTAAGACGGTATATGCTTTCTAATATTTTCTCAAATTTTAATGATGTAAAGCTTAATAAAAAATATGTTCAAAATGCATGTTAAATAATCCAAGATATTATGAGTCAGTGTCTACCATAGGCCCAGGGGTATTCATTTTAACAAGTAATCATGATGACTCTAGCAGGTTATCCACTGGTATGGCCATATTTTAGACCTGCTGCCTTATAGTGTTCATTTAGAGAATGGAATATCTTGCAAACAACTAGAGCTTTATTTCTTACTGTTTTAATTCCACAGATAACAGTTCATCATAAATTTTTCCAATAGTGGTAAATATACATATATAGCACTGTTGGAAATATATGCATATAGTATATATAAAGTATTTTGGGAAAATATATATGAAGTTTTCTTCAACTTTAGGTATAATTTAAATATTAGGTATAAAATACCTAATATCATATCTACATATTGTTATAATCACTTAGCAACATATCTACAATATATAACAACCCCCAAAAGATCTATTTGTTAGTATATTAATCAACTATAATAAAAACAAATGGGCTTTTGATTTCAATTAGACTAGGAGTATATTTGGCTTATTTTTTAAAGTAAAAATATTGCATTTCTTTATATAGAAACAGCACTACTGAGAAAATAAAAAAAAGCTTTTAAATCTGAAAAGATTCATATTAATTTGGGGTTTCAAATATAAAGTTTATTTATATCCAGTTTATTTTAAAGGCTAAAGCCAAATGTCATAGTACAGTTTATTACTAACTTGTCTCATATATAATATGAACATTACATTCTTTTCCTTTTATCAGCAAAAGCAATATAAATATATTACAATACATACTTATTTAATAAAATAAAAGCTGATTGAAATAATTTAGTTTTTTTCTCAATTTTTAACCTTGAGTCATGTCATTCATATACTTTTTAGATGAATAGAAAATTGAATTCAGTAAACATACCTATGTAACTTAAGGTGCTGTAGACCATCATGCAACATTCTTTAAACAATATATGCATTAAATAGTAATGTGTTTGTTTTGAATTTTAAAAAAATTTTGAAAATATTTATGATAAAATATTCAACGTTGACTCTTAAAATTTTTATTCTTGTAGAAGGTACACTTGAATTAAATTTTAAAACGTGCCATATTTTAAAATATTTTAATGACATCAATTCAACTCTCTAATAATCACATCTGTAGCCAGATTCTGTGGAAGTTTCATGTAACTACCACATTTTTCTTAATCTTAGAAAAAAATCTTTGTTATCTTAGAATCAGCTAATTAGCTGTCCTTGCTCTAATGCACATAGAAATGTGTTTTCTTACAATTGCATTTGCTAGAACTACACAAAAGTTTTATTTACTTTGCATTTTAAGGAATAATGAAATGATGTCAATTTTAAGAAACTTCATTTAATAAAAAATTTGATAAAATGAAACTTCCAAATGATATATTTCAATTTGAAATGTAAATGAAAATTTTGAATGCTCTCCATAAATAAAGCAAAAAATGGTGTGTTTACTTCTATTGATTGACTTGGGCACAGAATATGGCTTTGTTTTAGTTTTTGTAGGAAAGGACTAAGTAAAATATTTTTTAAAATATTGGAATGTGAAGATATGCTCTAAATTTTCTATATTTTATGTGTTGCTTTCCAAAACAAAATAAAAAGCATTTAACTTCTATTATGTTCAATATAAACACAATGGTTGAAATATTTTGTTTAAGGTAGTCAGTATTTAGTCAAAAATATATATATTTTTTCAGGCCCTCTCCTAGGTCTGGGAAAGCTAAAAATGCATATTACAATATTTGCAATATTTGAAATGCAAATACAATATTTGCTTTCAAAGTTTTCTTGGTTTAATGGTAATATTATATGTTATAATGCTTTTATACTGTCTATGGAGAAAGACTAGTTTTCAACACTAATGGTAGAAAAAGAAAATTAAAAAACTAAGACATAAAATAAGACTCATTATGCATTTATAGTTATATATACACTATAACTATATTCATTTATAGCCATATATATATAAGCTGACAAGATAGAAGAAAAAATATGTATATTAAAAATGTATATACATATGAATATAAACATATATCCCTATCAGATGTTTTGAAACATCCCTGACACATTCAAATTAATCATTCTCCTAATGATTAATAGCCATTATAAAAGAGATCTAGTCAGTCAATAATACCTACTAAGTTAGCATTAAATTGTTCTAAAATAAATCCTAGTTTACATAAGTAAAATACAAAAGGATTTTTTTTATTGCACTCCTGATATTTAAGTTTATTTTAAAGCCAAATGTATATCGTAACCGTAGATGTTTTGGATAAATAAAAATGTGCCTGAATTTTAAAAATACATATATTATATAGAATTATTATGTATGATCCACAGTTATGTATTTATATAAGCATTTGTAATAAATTTGTTGTCAATATTAGTCCTTTATGAAACTAATTATATAGGAAACTAATCTCTGATGTTTATATAATCAATTTTGCAATACACAAATATTTAAAATTAATCCTTTGGTAAGTATTATGTTAGAATTTACATAAGATATCACTCTTTTTTATCTATTTTTAAATTCCCATTAACGAGTTCAATATAATTTTAAAATTTTGTGCTTTCGTAGGGTTGTTATAACATATACAATGATACTTTCCTATGAAGATAAATATGAATAAAACTTTGTTTTCATTTTATGACTTTTTGAAAATAACAGAAATAAAATACTCATTTCACTGTATGGTCCTCTTTCCCCTCAGATGAAGAAATTTATATCCATTAAGTTTTCTCTTTTATATCAAACACCAAACACACAATTAGGAGAAGCTAACTACAATTACCTCTGAATCATTAAGAAAATCTCAATAGGTGAAGTAGCAGGCAACAAGAAAAAGGTATTTCTATAACTTGTTGAGAACATTGTAAAATATTTAATTGTTAATTCAGTAAAAGCTAAATCAATGCAAATTTTAGTAAAGCAAAGAACTCTGGAGACAAATTTATTTATTTATTTATTTATTTATTTATTTATTTATCTATCTATCTATCTATTCACTCATTTTTTTCTCCACCTCAAGACTACCTATAAGCATGGAGAAATATCTAAATATTTTGAAGAAATATTTAACTGGAAATTTTTCAGAGAAACTTACAAAAAAAGAAATAGATAACTTAGTTCCACCAGTCTATTTCATATTTCCTTTGTGCTGAAAATAAAGGAGTCAGATTTTTCTGTATTGTTGGCTTGCTTGCCTAGTGTGCCCAAGTAATTTATTTTTTTCTTTTTCTTCACCAGATACCTTATGAACAATGGCAATTATAACCTATAGCAATTTTAATGACTGGCAGCTAGATTAATAGGTTTCACTGTTAATGTCCAATTAGAGAAAATCACTTCCCATAGCTTCTTTCCCTATAACCTCTTATAAGACTAACTTCGTCTTTTATTGCTCAAGTTGATGTAGTCTCCTCCATCTCTTATTGATTTAATCATTAAATGTCATTCATTAAGCTTCAGGCCCTATTTTTTCAGCTATGAATATAAAAGTGACAAAATAGAATTTCTGGGTTCAGAGATCTTACACTGTATTGGGGAAATCAAACAATTTTGAAAGATGTATAATCTAATCCCAGGAAGTACAATAAAGAGAGAGGGAGACAAAAAGTACTAGAAGGCAACTAGCATAAGGAGTTCTCTTTCAGGTAGAGCTTTCATGGATAAACCCTCTAAGAAAGTGATATTTGATCAGAGACTTCATAGGACCAAGTGAATCATTGAAAGGAGAGCAACTCTTATCCCTTGTAGAGTGCTAAAATGGCTTACTTAACAAACTGAAAATTCAATATCATAACACCTGGCCCATTTCAATAATCAGTCAAATTTCAAAGGTAAATTTTAGCAAAAAGTGTTACTCTATATTTGACGTTTTATGACAACTTTCAGTCATCACCCTTCCCTCTTCCACTCTTGCCCCACATTCTGCACAAACCAATACAAAAGCTCCATGTTTCTTCACTCTGCAGTAACAGAAATTTCAGAACATTCAAGTCATGGTCAGTGTAAAATCCCTTACCAAGCCTCACAATTTGAGCACAAGAAAGCCCAGGCCAGTATTCCTTCCCTGCTCCTTCAGACTATTTTTCAGACATGCTTGGGATCCTGATCTGCTCTCCCAGAAAATCTCATTATATCAGTAACAAATCACTTCATTTCTTCTTGGTGCATGTGTGGACCAAGTCTTGTGTGAAAAGTCCATTCTGTATATACACAGTGACTGGCTTAGTCTATTTGATCTGCCATAATAAAAATACCACAGACTGGTTGGCATAAACAGAAATTTATTCCTGACAGATATGAAGGCTTCAAAGTCCAAGATCAAGGAGCCAGGAAATTCAGTTCCTTGTGAGGTTTCTCTTCCTGGTTTACAGATGCATGCCTTCTTGCTGTATTCTGGTATGGTGGATAGAGAGAGAGAGGAAACAAGTTCTTTCCTGGCTCTTCTTAAATTACACTAATCCTATCATGAGTGCTCCACACTCATGACCAAATTTTTTCCCAAAAGTTACAACTCTGAATATCATCACATTGGAAAAAGAGTTTTAGCACATGAATATTAGGAAGACACATTCAGTCCATAGACATCATCTTAAAATGAACATATATATTAGACAGTGTTTATTATAATTATCTATACTCTGTTTTCCATAAATGATTCTACATCTCTTTGGTATGTCATTTAATTTTGTCTTATGACAAAATATGTGATTTCTTTTCATTGACGTTGATTTTCATTTGATAAATTACATCTTCAAATATTTCAAAAGGCCTTCTACAACAGAAAAAAACAGTATTTACACTTTTAATTGCTTACATAATGAAGCAATTAAAACAAATAAAAATATTTAAATTCTTCAGTAATTTAATACTCCTAAAATTATTTGTTTGTTATACTTTGTATGCCTTGAACAGTGGTTAGAATATATTCTGTAAGAATTCTAATACTATAAACTATAATTTTCTATGAAATTACTATATACTTTGAAATGTTTTCTTATTGGAAGTTTATTTAAGATTTAGAGTGAATAAAACTTTTATAAAAGCCCTCAGGAATTATGGTTATTTTATAATTATTTTTGTATTTACAAAGTGTTAACAGTTTTAGAATTGAATCACCTATGTAATTTAAGTGTATAGATAAAAGTCAAGTAAAATGACCACAAATAAATTTTGCTACACAATAAATTTTCCTTAGACATTATTATACAGTTAAGACTATTTGTACAGTTTAACATTCTTAATCAAACCTAACATAAATTTAATGTATTTTGAAGTGAATTGATATTGAAAAACTATATCAATTTATTTTAATTAGCCCCAAAACTTACGTAAATATCTGAGAAGTTGTATGACCAGTTAAAGTATAGGTTGGTTCTACTTTGTTATGTTCACCTGACTTTGTATAATTCTTCAACTCTTCAAAATTCTGGGCAAATACTCCCTTCCATTCAGGTAAGGGTTCCCATTCTCCAGTAGAGACTGTGCATACATTTTACAGTACTTACAAATATGGCCATGGTTATACACTGCCAGCAAGATATATTACCATAGAGCAGTATTTACTTTGGCCATAATTTATCATCTTTTCTGGAAAAAGAAAAAAAATTGGATATTGTTACATTGCAAAATTAGTGTGCCTAGTATCATCAAATGGGGAGAGTTGAGTCAGTAACTGATATAGATACTGTATTCCCACAGATGCCTGAAAAATCAGATATAAGCTGACTTGTTATAATTATGTTCAAAATGAATTTATTAAAAATAATTACAATTATACAATTATAAAATGTATTGTTATTACAATTTCATTTTTCTACCATCTTCTATTCCTAGTTATTTCTAATGTAGAAGAGAGATTTGAAGGAACATCTCAAACTAAAGATTTACACTGTGGTGAATCTAGTCATAACGACAATGACCAGAGAGAAAAAAGAAAGTAGAAAAATGTTGTAAATGTACTATTTAAAAAAAAATGTAATCAACAGGGTAACCATGAGATAATAATATGATAAAATATTGATTAAAAATAAATCCTATTGCTTCCTTTGTAGACTATACAATATATTATTAGTGGTTACTTTTTCTTTTACAACTTGGCAACATTTCTGTGCTCTAAGTCCATCAGAAAATTTAATATATTCAATATACATTACTGAGTATGATTATGCAAAGTATTTTTAAAAAGTGATATTACGAAAATAAACATTTTTGAGTGTATGCTGATAGATCATGTGTCTATCATCTCAGATTGAAAACATGTATTTAAAGGTTAAAGACATGATTATTTCTCCCAGATCTTCCTTAAAAATTTTATGACATTTTAAAATTCTATGGTTTTGCTTTTGCTCTTTTCTCAAAACAAACAAAAAAAAACAAGAAATAAAAATTTAGACAACATAAAACAATAGTTCAGATACCAAAATATAAAACATTCTATTGGAAGTGTCTCATATTTTAGGGATTCGAGAAGACAAAACCCACTGGGGTTGTCACAGTTGCAATGCTGAGGCTTTTATAGACTCTCTCAATGTAACTTGTACTCTTCTAGGAGCCTACAGGCTCCAGGAGGTCCTGGGTATATATATTTCTTTCAGTTTTCACAGAATAAATTGCATTAGGTATTGTCATTTGCATTTTTGTGTGTGTGAAAACTAATGTTTAGAGACATTAACAACTCTTGCATTTTAAGAGTATTCCCAAGGTAACAGAATTGCAACTGGGCACGAGAAGCATGAGAACTGGAATTCAGAACTCTTGAGATTGTTGAGATCATACCTGTATCCTAGGTATCCCTGATTGTTCTGTGAGGACCCAGGTTCTCTCTGGTTTACTTATCAAGCAATTAGATTTGCCTGGCTTCACTAGCTCTTGTCAATTTCCTATTCATTCCCCAATTTATCGCACATTTTAACCTGATAAATGACTTACATGTCCTGACCCAGACATTCCATCTCTGGAATTTACTCAATAAGTGAACAGATTAGCTATATGTCTATATATGTCTAGTTTTGCCCATGCTCGCCATGTTTAACCTTACCCTACGACCAGCACATCCCACAAGGCTAGAGCTAGGGCCAACACACAGCAGAAGCATGTGATAATGGCATTGTTCTGTTTCACTTTGAAAAGACCTGCATTTTCAATTTTAAAAATGCACTTAGAAACATCGCAAATATAGTATAATGGTCTCCCATGCATTCTTCACCTAGATTCACAAGTTGTTAACACTTTGCCACATTTACTTTTTACATCTGATCTTTTTCCCTCTATACTCTATACAACGTTGAGAGCAAAACTACATTTGAGTTATGGGAATGAAATCGTGTTCCTCCTCCAAAATATTTTTCTGGTTGACAAAAAAATATAAAGACTCTTTCAAACAGAATTTTAGCATTGCATACTAATGCCCACAACTATTTATCTGTTAGATGTCATAAAACAAGTAGCGTAAATTTGTTTGAAAAGTTGTCCTGAAATTAAACGTAGAAGTGAGGTCTCATTATTTAGCTAAGGCTATGTTCAATTTAAACAAATGTTCCATTGTCTTCACTTCTTTCATATATCCCATGGCAATTATTTTTTAAAAGACAATTTAATAAGTGACAAACTTTTATAAACCTATTTAAAATGAGGGGAAAGTCAAATTACTACACTAAGATTGACTAATGGAAATGTCGATGCCCTTGTGTTCATTGGTTAACACAAGGAACCCTAGTGTGATCTGTTTTCTTTGTAAAGAAAATACATTTAATCATCCCCATGTTAAAAATTAAGCAGAAAATAAAAAAGAAAATGAATTTGAAAGCTTCACTTGACTCTCTAAACCACTTATATATCAGCAATCCTAATTTATTTCCAACTGGGCTCAGGTGTATTTAAAAATAAATAAGGCAAAAATTCATCATGCATTGAGTCTTTGCATCCTCCAAGGAACCACAAGTATATGAGGGTTTTTAAGCATTACTTGGAAAAAAAATCACGATTAAGCAACCAATAACAGCTGATTAATGGCTTTTATGTTCAGGATTAAATTATTTAAAATTAAATATAATTTTTCTAAACTTTCACCATTGTTACATGGGAAACAAAAAGTGCTCAGTAACAGAACAATTAAACCACACATTTTTATAGAGCAAGATAGTTTCAGGGTAGTTAGAAACAATTGTATTGTCTTTATTCTCTTAAAATAATCAGCTGAAAAAATTAGCAAGATGTTTGGGAACATTTATCTTAGGGCCAAAAATCAATTACAAAAATGACCACAGGTTGAATTAAATATCAAATTAATAGAAAGTTACTGCCAATGGATGGTGATAAGTATCATAGAAAAATATATTGCTTTGCTAAACATTTTTATTAGAGTCTTCACAATTCGTATAAAATTACCTAGTATAAAAATTATCCAATAAAAGTGTGAATTGGAAACTAATTTGGTAATTTTAAGTTCCTCACTCCAATGTTTTGAGGTAAATGATGTTTAAGGTAATTTAGGATAGTCCCCAAGTATGTATTGTGATTCACAAGAAATTTAATTAGAAATTTACCTTATCATGGAGTCACATATGTAAATGTATATGTATGGATATATGTATATGTTGGTACTCATACACATAGATAGTTAGGTAGTTTAATTTCATCGTATTTAATAATGAAACATTCAAATGAATGTAACATAGTATAAATACTGCAAGCAATGCATCCATTCATCTTCTGCCTAAGTAGAAACAACAACAAAAAAACTATTCTTGCCCATAGACAATAAAATGCAATATGTTTCTTTTTTGTTGTATGTATTTTTAGTATCATGCACTAAGCAAGACTGGATTTAATAGAATCAGGAAAGTGGGATTTAGGATGCCAAATTAATCAAGAAAAGTGTACATGCCAAAACTAAGTGTAGGACGGATGGTTAAAAGAGCAGAAGTTATTCACTAGCATGCTGGAGCTGCTTTATACCTGTTTGTGAAAACCAATTGTGCACATCTCTTTCTTTCTCAGTGTCCAGTGACTTTACCAGCACAGCAAATGTCACCAAACCAGGGATCTTTCCCAGCCTTCCCTGTCCTTACCCAAGACAATTGGTTGCTAAACATTCACCTGCACACCACTGGTTTAATCCTGCCTCGGTCTCCTTTTAGTATGAAATTTGCACCAATTATTTTACTGCTTTCCATGTCAAATTTCTCAATCATCAAATGGAAATTCCAATACTATATTAAAGCATGTTAGAGCAACTGAAGTCAATGCTATTTCCTTTAAAATTAGCTGGCATTCGTTGATGCTCACAATGAGTTACTGATATTTGAATTTAAACTGTCTTTGACCTCAGAGAAGGAAGTCACTGATTGATTTGAAAACAATTTAGCATAACATATTTTTTAAAGTAGAGCAGGATTTAATTCATGAGTTGATATTAAAAGTACAGCCGCATAAGTATATACACATGTATATTTACTTCCACATTTATGAGTATTTCTTTAAAAATAAGTGCAGTATATAGTACTCAACAACAGAATGAAAATATATTTTTTAACTTAGCAGAAAGTCAAAACTCAATGAGGTTAAATAACAGGCTTTATGAATTTGTATTAGAGGACCAAAAAAAAGAAAAATTATATAATAGCATCTGTTTTTCTCTCATACATTTGGTCTTGATGGAAGTACACTCAATGTCCACTATATGTTAGGCATTACTTTGAAGTTTGATAAGGCAAAACATAAAACATTGAAATTTTGTAGCCCCATACTGAGTTGTAGTAACAGGCATGTGAAAAAAGAATAACAACTGACATTTTTGGATGTTTATTCTTTGCAAGACATGATCCATTAAAATGCTTGCCTGTATCAATAGTTTACATTTCTGAGTAGTATCCTATGGTATGAATGTACCACAGGTAATTTAAGCATTTCCTATTGAAGGACATTTGGTTGTATTCCAGTTTATAGCTATTACAAATAAAGGTTCTGTGAAAACTTGTGTATAGGACTTTGTGTGAATATGAATTTTCATTTTTGTGAAATAAGTGCCCAAGAGTGCACATAGTTGGTTTTATGGTAATGCATGTTTAGTTTTGTAAGAAACTGCCATACTGTCTTCCAAAGTGGCTGTAATATTTTGTATTCCCACCAGCAGTATAGGAGTGATCCAGTTTCTTCACAACCTCACCAGCATTTGGTAGTGTTGATATATTTTCAGCTGTTATAATAGGTTTGTAGTGATATATCATTGGTATTTCAGTATACATTTCCCCAATGGCTAATAATGTTAAACACATTTTATGTATTTATTTGCCATCTTTACATGTTCTTATGCATAATGTCTCTTCATGTCTTTTGATAAGTTTCTTTTTCAAATGATTTTTACTGTGGAATCTTGAGAGTACTTTGTATATTCCACATTATTCTTACTTTTGTGCTTGTCTTTTGTTTTATTAACCAGGTCTATTGACAGCAAAATTTTTAATATTGATGAGGTCAGATTTATAAATTTGATTTCTTGTGAATCACATTTTTAGTGTCATGTACAAGAACTCTTTATCTAGGCCTAGTTCCCAAGATTTTCTCCTATTTTTTCCTCTTAAAAATATTATAGCTTTATGTCTTATATTTAAATCAATAATCTTTGAATCCATGATTCATAAAATTTTTACATGAGTGATATATATGTATACACTCCTATTGATTTATGTATTTGCCTATGGATAATGAATTGCTGTAGTGCATTTTGTTGAAAATGCCACCTGATCTATACTGAATGTGTTTGTAAAACAAATCAGTTGGACATATTTGTGTCTACTTATGAGTATGTTAATCAATATGTCTGTCCCTCCAAGAACACCACACTCTTGACCATAGCTGTATAATAAGTGCTAGTATTAGTTAGGATGATTTTTCCAACTTTAGTCTTTCATTTCAAAATTCTGTTTTTTCACATATGTTTTAAGATAAGTCTCTCTACGTCTGTAATGAGAAAAACTCAGAACCATATTTAAAAAAAAAGAGAAAAAACTTTCCCCCAAACTAGAAGGGAACCAAGAGACCAAACAATGATTTGGATAAGTCCAGGTTGGTGGGTAGATGAGTTTATTGGCACTCACATACAAGGCACTCCTGGAGAGCTTTAGAGATACACTATCTATCTGTAAGCCGCTTTTAAGCTAATTTTCTGGCTCTTTGCCTATGATGTGTGCGACGGGACTGTTTTGCTTGGTGGATTCTCAGATATTCTCTGGTAAGTTTGGATTCTCAGAGACACCTGCTCTTAGCTGAGCACCACAGCCTTGGCTCACTGCTCAGCATTTAGGGTCCAGGCAGCAGACATGTACCCTTTAGTAACCCGGTGGGGCACCCATCAAACTACAGTGTCTACAAAAGCACTGGTGATTGGTAGGAATTGCAGCAGAATCAACATCTTCTGTTAAATTTTCCAATCCATGAATATGGTTTGCATCTACATGTATATTTCAGTCTTAAAAATTCTTTTTTCATCAGTATTTTGAAATTTTAATATATTCATCATGTACATGTTTTGTTAGATTAATTGTTAGATACCTCATCTGAGGCATGGTGAGAGGAAGCAATTGTAACTGGCATTGTGTTTTCACTTCCGTTACTAAGGAGTTTGACTCTTGGTCAAAAAATGGATGTGTAATATGTTTCAGGCCCAACTATATGTAATTAAAAAGCCTTTGCCTGGCACGCCTCATGAGGGAAAGTTATTCTTCTCACATCAGGCTTGGTGCACAGCCAATGTGTTGCAGTCTCTGAAGAGAGTTGCAGTCAAGATTTAGACCTCTCTAGCATAATTGCACTCTGAGTCCAGAAACTTTTCTTTTTATTTCTCTTTATGTAGGGCACTTACCAAATGCCTTTCTCACGTTTCTCTGTTGAGGCCTTTACATTGGAGGAGGAGTAGAAAATCTTGCAGACAATTTTATCCACTCTAACTCAGTATTCAGTACTTTTCCATTCCTAGCTTTCTCCCCCTTTCTTTCTCCTGTCCACAAGGTTCATAAAAGTACAGGAGCCTTTTGATCAATACTCCTTCAAAAGTTAGATGAACACCCACATCTGTGCTGATCTACCTTAACCTTGACTATCACTCCATCACAAAATGGAACACATGACAGCCCAGCTCTTTCCAGCTCAGCTCAGCTCCAGATAAATTTCCGTTTGTTTATTGTTACTACATAGAAATGCAATTGATTTTTGTGTGGTCATCTATCCTGCAGCCTTGCTGAATACATTTGTTAGTTCTAGCATTTTTTGGTAGATATTTATATAAATTTTCTATGTAGACTGTAATGTCATCTACAAGTAGGTACAGTTTGATCCCTTTCTTTCTAATCTGTTTTACTCCTTTCTTTCTACTCTGTATGACTTTTTGTTTCATGTCTTTTGCATCGACTAGAACTTCCATTGCAATGTTGAATAAAAGAGTAATAAAGGGGACATCCTTGCTTTGTTGCAGATCTTAGAAGGAAATCATTCAGTCTTTCATCATAAAATATGAACTATAGTTGTTTTGTTAATAATCTCTATAAAGTAGAAAAGAATCCTGTGAACATAATTTGCAGAGTTTTAATTGTGAATATATGCTGAATTTTTGTCAAATAATTTTTATATGTCAGTAGAAATAATCACATAATTTATCTTTCTCTTCTTCATCCTATAGATCTAGTGAATTAAATTTATTTATTATCAAATATTGAACCAGCTTTGCATACCTAAAATAAATTTCACTTGATCATAGTATATAATTTTTGTAGACATTGCTGGATTAGATGTCAAGATTTTTTTTGTTTAGACAGAGTCTCACTTTGTCGCCCAGGCTAGAGTGCAGTGGTGCCATCTTGGCTCACTACAAACTCTACCTCCTGGGTTCAAGCAATTCTCCTGCCTCAGCTTCCTGAGTAGCTGGGATTACAGGTGCCTGCCACCGTGCCCAGCTCATTTTTGTATTTTTAGTAGAGACGGGGTTTCACTATGTTGGCCAGGCTGGTCATGAATTCCTGATCTTGTGATCCAACCGCCTTGGCTTCCCAAAGTGCTCGGCTTACAGGCGTGAGCCACCGCGCCAGGCCATGTCAAGATTTTTTAAGGAGTTTTGTCTGAGTTTATTAGAAATATTAGACTGTATTTTCTTTTTTGTGCATTTTCATTATCTAATTTGGTATCCGTGTTATACTGACCTCATAAAACAAATTGGAAAATGTTCTTATTTCTTCTATATTCTGGGAGACATTGTATAAAGTTGGCATTAATTCTAATTTAAGTGTTTGTTAGAACCATCTGTTAGTATTTGGAGAGTTTTTAATGATGAATAAAATAACCCTAATAAATATGGAAGAATATACATTGTCTATTTCATCTTAGTTTGAAATTAGGTAGCTTGTGAATTTTCACAAATTGATCCACTTCTTCAAAGTCATGAATTTATGAGTGAATATTATGGTCAATATTCCTTACATTATTTTAACTGCTGCAGAATATGTAGTGATATCTCCTGTCTCATTCCTAATATTGGTTATTTATGTCTTCTCTTCTTTTGCATTTGTCAGTCTTGGTAGAGATTTAGCAATTTTATGGATTTTTAGAAAATTTTTGATGATTTAAAATTTTGTTTTGCTATTATTTTTCTGTTCCAATTTCACTGATTTCTGTTTTGATCTAAATTAGTTGCATCCTTCTGTTTACTTTAAGTTTATTTTGCTTTTTCCTAGAACTAAGACTATATGGCATTAGATTATTTAATTACTACCTTTCTCCATTTATAATAACAATATTACATAATTTGTTTTTCTGATGTTATCAGCATTGTTTTAGTTTAATTCTGCACATTTTAATGTTATATTTTACTTTCATATAGTTCCATATATTTTCTAAAACATTATTTTGATACTTCTTTCTTTACCTCTTTTTTTCTCCCTAAGGGTTTAAAGGGTTTGTTGTTTTTTTGTATTATCTTTCTGTTTTTGTTTCTAGTTTAATTCCATATGATAACAAGATACATTCTGTATTATGTCAATACTTTAATATTTTTTATGTCCCAAGATATGTTCTAAATTGCTAAATGTTAAATGGATGCGTGGGGAAAAAAAGTATATATTTCTGTTTTCAAGTGGAGCATTCTATATATTTCAATTAGGTATTGTTGGTTGATTGAGTTGTTCAGTTCTTCCATAACCTTTTTTATATTTATTCTAGTAGATTTCTGTTTCCTGTTTTTCTTTTCTTGGCTTTTGTTTTTTGTTTCCTCTGCTTCTCTTTTCTTGGCTTCCTGCCAATTACTTAAACAGCTTTTAAAATTCTATATTAATCAATTAATTTTATGTTTAAATGTAATGTCTCATATGTTTATCCTACCAGTTGATCTGTCTAATATACATATGTGGCTTACACTCTATATCTACTGGCATCAACATTTTACCAATTCATGTAAATTGTGGAGAAAGTACTTCCATTTATATCCCTATGCCTTCCTCACTTTTAATATATCATATAATTTTATTTCAGATGATATTGTAATTTTTATTTCAATCACTACTTAAATATAGGGAACTAATAAAAAGATAACGTGTGTATTTTCCCACGTTACTAGTATTTCTGATTTCCTTTTCCCAAATGCTTTCAAATTTTTTATTTTATTATTTTTGTTATTTTTGAAGACATTCTTTTAGTCATTTGTTGAGGGTAAGCTTTCTAGTGATAATTTCTCTTAGTTTTCCTTTTTGTGAATATGCCTTTATTTACTCTTCATTTCTAAAGAACATTGGGTCCATTCTTTCTGGCCTCCGCCATTTCAGGTGAAAAAGCTAAAGCCATTTATACTGTTGTTTTTTTTTCTTGTAAATAATGTCTAATTTCCCTGAGATTATCTTCAAGGTTTTTTTTTTTTTTCCTGTCTTTAGGAAGTTTCAGAAATTGAATAAAGATGTGTTTTCACATATTATCTCCATGTTGTTCAGACAGGATAAATTACATTCATCTCTCAAGTTTGCTGATTCTACCCTCTGTAATTTTTACTCAATTATTAAACCCATGTAGTGAGGTTTCTTTTTCATTTTATTTATTGTATTTTTTAGTTCTCTATTTTCCACGAGTCTTTTTTATAACATATTATTTTGTTGAGACTTTCTTTTATTTTTAAAATTTGTTCCAAGAGAATTTATTACTACTTGGTAAAGCATTTTATGGTGGTAGATGAAAAATCCTTGTTAGCTTATTTCAGCCTGATTCCACATAGCTGTTGTCAATTTATTATTTTTTTCTTATTGCTGTTGTGACTTCTCTATTTCTCTTATAATAAGTAATTTATGATTGTGTCCTGGGCTATTTGAATATTAGATAAGACTCTGGATTCTATTTAATCTTCTTTTTAGCTGGCAGTTCTCCTTTGGAGGTGTGGTGGGATGTCTAAATTTGTATACAGGTTCAGCTTCCCCTAGAGCCCACTGATACTTTCCCAGCAAAAGTAAAGTTCTGAATGATACGGCCTTTTGCAATAGGTAGGGTGAACATTTACTTCTCTCTCTCCTTCTGATAACTTCAAAACAATAAAAACAGTGCACACACAGCCTTGTTTGTTCCATGTGAAGGGTATAAGGTCATCTCCCTTCTATGTTCTGCATGCTCTAGGGAGGGTTAAGCAGAGAAAAAACTCACATTGCTTTATTGCTATGAGGTCTGCATAGCAGCTCAGCTCTCCACTGGGTCCTACTGAGCTCCTCTCACATGAGAGGAAGGAAAAAAATTAATTGCAGTTCCAAAAATCCCCACCTCCTACTACTTTATTTCTCACCGATCCCAAATGAAGGTGGAAGTTCAGCTTTTCAGTTGGCCCCCTGGCACCAGGAGGGAAGTGGTGAAGTACAGTGGCACCTACTTCTACATCATCCTGGGTTATTAAATCTTGTTTCTAATAGGAGGGGGCAGAGGCTCAACTTTTCACTGGATCCCACTGACACTATCCTGATGAGGGTAGAAAGAAACTGCCTGCTTCTGACAGGCAAGAATTGGAAGATCTGCTGTGTTTCCAGCTCTACCAATGCTTAACAGAGGGATTAGAGTGCTTTCTGTCCCTGCCAGACAGGCAGAAAATGGCAGAGTAGCTCTCTGTGTGGCCCTACCGGTACCACATAATGAGGGAATAGGAGCAAGTACCTATGCTTTCCTTTGCCATTGGTTTGTGCAAAAAGATCTCTCCTTTATTTAGTCTCATTTAAACAACAGAGTGGGAGGAAGTTATTTGGCTGAAGTAGAATGCATACAGCCAAAAAGTCTTGGTGTTAGGATACCCTTTTCTCAGCCCTTTGGCTAATAGAAACAGGTTTTTTCTTGCATCTCTTTATGTATATACCTTTGGATGACCTAGGTTATAAACTTTTACAGGACTCTTGTTAAGTATATATGGAAATCAATAGTAAATCAAGGGCACTCAATCTGGTGTCATTCTTCAAATTACAAGGCCCCTAGATTGCCTAATATTTTTTTCTACTCATTAGGGTCATTCTATGCTTCCTTGT
This sequence comes from Homo sapiens, assembly GCF_000001405.40. NCBI lineage: Eukaryota > Metazoa > Chordata > Mammalia > Primates > Hominidae > Homo > Homo sapiens. Next base: position 193,112,778 of record NC_000002.12, on the reverse strand, counting down.
TGTGTTATGCCCAATGCATTTATCCTTTTTTTAGTTATAATGTTGAGGAACAGAGAGAAATCAGGCCACTCTATCTTGGCTGCAATCAGAAGTCCATACAGTTTTGTTAATTAATAAGAAGCAAATAAAAACAATATCTATTTTAATTCTTAAAACCAACTTCAGGTTGTGTTTTAAAATTAATTCACTTCCAAGTCAGTATTAGACATTTAAATTGTAACATGTTTTCTTTCTATATTAAACCATAAATCATTTTTTTCTGCATGTGGAAGGCATTTTCTACAAATTTAAAGTAAAAAAATCTATGACAATGACAGACATCTGCACTGTAGGTATTAAAGAAGAATAGCATTATCTACATCCATCTACAAAAAGATTTTTGAAACTTGCTTAAAAATGTAGTCAAGATAATTTATTGTTTATAATTTGAAATATATTTCAAAAATTTAACAATGATCAGTTAAGCAATTAAGTGTCTTTTTGATTTTCAATAGTCCCAGACATTACTGATTGTCCGGTTTCCCTAGTATCTTATTAGGCTTAAAATATTAATGAATGCAGTTTAGTAAATAAGTTTTGAATAGTCTAGGACTTTTAATATAATTTGAAAGTATTTAGCCTAGAGATTGACTGTTATTGAAAATATAATATTACTAGGTTAAACATCAGTTTTTACTATTAATCTACTAATATTCTGTGGTATTTGAAGAACTGGTAAATATAAACTTTATACTTTTACAAATATCTTTAAAATTATAATTGTTATTCATTACATTCCAAGAAAGACCTGGTAATAGACTATGCATTGAAAAATTAATATATTTTTAATCTTTAAATATCTGGATAATCATTGTTTTATTATATATCAGTAGAAAGAAGTTTTTAGAATCTTTATAAAAAAGTATTCTGTAGTAGTAACACATAAATTTTGGCAAAAATGAATATAATTAAATAAATAGAGTTGACGAAACTACTGGACAACAAAGTCATTGTTACACATATTTCCTGATGCATATTTCCTTAAAGGAACTGTATACCATCTAGTGATTTAGTGGCTAAATTACAACTTTCAATTCTGCATTTTTCTGCAAGAATCATCATCAGACTATTATGAACAAGAACAACAACAATAATAACAAATTACTTCTTAAGTTTGAATTCAACATTTATCTTCGGTAAAACAACTTTCTGGAAAAAGTTCAAGTATTTAATTATTTCTGTTAATTTGTACCTTAGAAAAAAAGGGGAGAGGAGCTTTTTGAATTATCGTAACTCTGCTATTTATGAGAAATATCTGTCTAAATGCTACAACACATATTCATTTTTTTCCCTTGTAAGTATACATTATTTCATGATTTTCATGTAATTGTAAAAATATGTAATGGAAACCATTACATAATAAATGTTATGAATTGTAATACATATTTAATATGCATATATAATCATGGATTTTTGTTCCATGTAAATATATATTGAATAAACTCTATTATATATTGAAAAGAATATATATATTTTTAAGGAGAAATGCATTCTAGAGATCTACTGTACAATATGGTGACAATAGTTAACAATATATTATATTCCTAAATCTGCAATGATAGTAGATGTAAAATCTCTCACTACAAAAATGATAACTATGTAATGCATATGCTAATTAGCTAGATTAGTCATTCTGCAATGTATATATATACTTCAAACATCATGTTTTGGTAAATGCATAAAATATTATCTGCCAATTAAAAATGATTAATTAATTTTTTAAAAGAAAATGTATCTAAAGAAAGGGGGTTGATACTTCAAAATATAATTAGAGGGAATACTGCAGAAAATAAGGCAATGTAATGTCTTCTTACTTTTTTTTTTCCTTTATGCAGTTGAAGAAGATATTCTACATTGACTGGCAGAGATACATGTAGTTAAACTGTTCAGATTTCCTTATGGTTTATTCAACAATTATTCACAACATGGGATTTCTTTTTTTACTTCTTGCTCCAAATGACTTTGAAAGTATTTCTGAATCCACAGTTTCCATACATTGTACATTCCTTAAATTCACAATGTAAGCCCAGGATTCTCACATTCAGTAAATAATCTTTAAAAATCAAATTTGTTTTACAAGGATAATTACTCAATCTCAGGCTCTCCACCTCAAAAATACCCCTGCATCTTCATTCATTTTGTGCCTCTAACACCAAAAAGAAGTATGCTTCCTTTTATTTCTTTCCAAAATTACCATCTTTCTTTATTCTATTTCCTCCTTAATTCTCTAAATCTTAGGTCTTTCAAGTGTCCCCATTCTCCATTGTAGCACTAATCTTTGTCTTTTTAACTCCTTCGTTTGGGTTCAATCTTTGTAAAGGCAATAAGAACACAAAACGGTGCCATCTCCTTGATCATGGTACCCAGTGGTTTCTCCACTTTCTCCCAATCTATCCTACACATTATTTGTAATTAAATTATTTCTGATAAGCAATATTAACCATATTATACAACCATTTGATTTTGAATTTTTACTTTAATTTTATGAGTTTTTGTTTTTAACTTAAACCATACAGACTATTCAGGGGATTTTAGCTTTTATCTGTATTTCCTTCTATTTATTCCTCCAATCCAAGCTTTGTAATTTTTAAAATGTATTAATTATGTTTCATTTAAAAAGTTAATAGTGTCTATATGTGAATATATTGTGCATAGTATCCTATGCACAATATTCTCCACCTTGATGTTTTTACTTTAAAAGTTTTAACCTATTGTTGAAAATGTAGGTAGAGGAGAAAAAATTATTCCTCTATCTTCATAAGTTTTTTGGTTGGTCTAAGAATTTAACATAAGACAGATTAACAGGAGAAAAACATGCAGATTTTATTTAATAAAATGTTATATGTACATGGGAGTCTTCACAGGAATATGTAAACCCAAGAAGTGGCTAAGACTAACTGCTTATATACCAAATTGAATAAAATGGCAATTGTAGAAACATAATTAGGAAGATAAGGGTTAGTTTGACAAGGTTTGTACAGATTTCTTTCCACCTTGACTCATCTCTGGTGATAAGAACATTTCTTTTTTTCTTTTATAGGGAGGACATTTTTTACATTGGAATTTCATGATTTGCATTTAGGATGAAAACAGGAGATCAGAGTGCCCTTCTGGTACCTAATGTTAAAATATCATCAGGTATTTAATTGCAGTGCTATTAGTAATAACAGAAGAAGGAAAGCAAATGTTCACCAACAAAAGACAATGGTACATTCCAATGAACAAGAACTATGGTGCTGTAAAAATAAATGAAAAATATTTCTACATATTACTGTGACAGTGATGATATGGTTAGACAAAATAAATATGCCCAAGCAGCATAGTTTAAGGTGGATCTCCTGAAATCCTTCATTACCCTAGTAAAGGGTTTCTCAAATTTGACATTCTGAACTGGATAACTCTTTGTTTTGTTAGGGGGCTGTTCTGTATATTATAGGAAGATTAACAATATTCCTGCCTTCTGTAATCCAGATGTCAGTAGGACTCGCTAGTTGTGACAATTAAAAGTCCCCCTGACAGGTCTCTGGGGGTGATCAAAATCAGAATTAAATATCACTTCTATTAGTCTATTTTTATACTGCAATAAAGAATTCCCTGAGACTGGGTAATTCATAAAAGAGAGAGGTTTAATTGACTCACAGTTCCACATGGCTGTAAAGTCCTCAGGAAACTTACAATCATGGTGGAAGGCGAAGGGGAAGGAAGGCACCTCCTTCACAAGGTGGCAGGAAGGAGAAGTGCCCAGCAAAGGGGTAAGAGCCCCTTATAACACCGTCAGATCTCTTGAGAGCCCATTCACTATCACGAGAACAGCATGGGGGAAACTGTCCCCATGATTCACTTATTTCCACCTGGACTCTCCCTTGATGTGTGGGGATTACGGGGATTACAACTCAAGATGAGATTTGAGTAGAGACAAAAAGTCTAACCATATCATCACTGCCACGGTAATATATAGAAATATTTTTCATTTATTTTTACAGCACTATAGTACTTGTTCATGGGAATGTGCCATTGTCTTTTTGCGGTGAACATTTCCTTTCCTTCTTCTGTTATTACTAATAGCACTGCAATTAAGTAGCCGATGATATTTTAACAAGATATTCTTGGAATTGATTTTTAGAAGTGAGTTTACTAAAGTAAAAAAGTCACTGCAATTTTCTAGATATTGCCAAAATACTCTTCATTCTACATTCCTTCCAATCAAATTCCCACCAAATTTTGAATGTTATAACTTTCTTTAAAAAGTAAGTGATTCATCACTTAATTAAAAAGATTATTTATCCAGATTAATTTATTTTATTTCTCATCATACTTTGTTGAATATAACATTTATTTTCATATTTCAATATTCTCATTGATTTGATATTTCAAATTTCAGATAATTACTAAAAATATACTGTTAAAATCAATGTTAAAATAGAAAATCAGGTTAGTTCTAAAAAGGAAAAAGTAGTTGGGAAAACTAAATGAAATAAAGAGTACTCACACCAATGTTTTACTATAATAGAATACCTATAATTCCATTTATTTTGTAGTTACTTATCTACTACCCCACTTATCTATTCCTTTGTGCTTTTTGTAACAAAGAGAAAATGATATTCCAGATGCTGAAAGTATATACATAAAAACTACCAGGATCCAGACAGGATTTGTACCATAGAAAACCTACATAATTATAATTTGAATCTTTCAATGTATAATGTTTTCATGCTTTATGTTAAGTTTTTCATTATACTTTTAAAATTATAAAATTGTGTCTCTGAGGGGGATGTTTGGGATTTTTACCATATGATCACATTTGATGACAATTTTACTAACTCATTTACAAAAGATGGTTTTAATGCAGGTAGTATGCTGCGGGGTCAAGCCCGGTACTTTTTAAAAAATATATAATCAAATACATTTCAAAAGAAATTAAAAATTGTTCTTACACTTTTAAAACAAAGTAAAGCAAGATATTGATTCTCTAACACAAGCATTGCTTAAGATTTGTTTTCTATAGATAGATTTTGGCATCAGTTTTCTTGTGAAAATGAGTGGAAATATCTTTATGCATACTATGAGACAATTAGACTTCTGAAAGTCTTAAAAGTATATAACTATTAACAATTATTAACTTCTTATGATAATTTTGGGCAAAGTTAATAATCACTTTTACTCTCTAGGTTTTTGTAGAGATCGATTTTTTAACTAATATAAATCTAAATGGAAAAAATGTAAACTACCCTAGGTATTTTAAAATAAGAGTATCAGTAAAATAAATTGGTAGTGCGGGATGAAAGAGGTGGCAAGACACATAGAAAATGGTTAGGATGCCCCTATATTAGCAACAAGGAGACAGCTGCCAATTACAGGGCTGCAGAGTCAATGGGAGTAGAGATGGAACCTAACCAAAGAAAACTGGACCTTTTAGGCCTAGGACTATATCCAAATAAGAGGTTGGAACTGTGTAGGAAAATGTTTTCAGTTGGAATCCAGAAACATAGAAGATAGAGTCGCTGCTGTAGATGCCAGAGAGATGAAAGACAGAATTAATACTCTTGATTTTCCTTTCATCCACCTCTCCACCTGCCAATGTCCAACCAATGCATTCTTTTTGCTGATCTCAGATGTAATCTGCAGAGAACAGCTTCCTTCTTATTTAGAGTGATATCTAGAAAGTGTGAGAAAAACAAGCAAATGATCCAACAAATTTCCTTATTATTCTTGTCATTAATGTTTCTGCCATTTATTAGCAGAAAACCTTTAACTAATTGAGGTCCAGCTTAATTTTTGCTTTTCTTGTGTGGCTCACAGTGTAATTGAGTTTTATTTATTTATTCTTTCTTACTATGATTTATCATATTATCACTGTGCAATATAATTCCATGGTAGCAAAGATTATCTTTTTGTTTAGTCCATGGTTGTAACCCCAGTACTTGAAAAAAGCCAGGGTCATATTAATCTGTCAATACAGTGCAATAAATGAATGAATGGATGAATAAATTTCAGTGTATTAGAGAACAAAACCATGGGCAAAATATAACAATCTGGAATGTAAGCTAAGGTCACTATTATTCTAGCTGGTTTTGTTCCTTATTTAAAATTTAGAACTCATATTCCAAAGGGATGAACTTGCGAAGATCAGAAGATTAATATTACATGTATATGTCTCAACATTTTGAATACCAAATAATATTTGATTTTTATAATTGTCATCTCAAATATATTATCTATAAAAATTTATCAAAATCATTTTTAAAGTAATAGATTTGTACAGTTGTCTCTTCATTCTGCTGATTATTTCCTTTGCTGTGCACAGCATTTTAGTTTGAATAATCCAATTTATCTATTTTTGCTTTTGTTGCTTGTGCTTTTGAGGTCATATTAAACATTTTATTTTTGCCCAGACCGATGTCATAGAGCTATCCCTCTATGTTTTCTTTTAGTGTATTGCAGTTTCAGATTGTATGAATCAAATTTATAATGCATATTTTTATTCTTTCCTGTATTACAAGAAAACTTTAGTTCAATTTAAAATCTTAATATTATATACAATATTCAAGTAGCTGAGTAACCAACAGATGATCTGTAAGTTCATTTGATTATGCTCATTCTAAATTTTGGTAGAAAGATAATTAAGTGTATTGTATTGTGAAATATATGCTGAGGATAAGAGAAAGCTTCTCTAAATAGATTTATAGGTTACGCCAGAAAATTTAAAGAGAGACACATAGAGAAAATGTAATATTTTCTAAATGCTTCATGTAAAATATATAGAATAAATAACAAATTAATCTTTATGTTACTGAATTTGTAGCAGATAATGTGGTACTATTTTGACATCGGAAGAATAATAAAAGATTTACTGTAATATGTCTTCAGAAGTGATATGTGTACTTAATATAATTGTGTCAACTATGTTTAGTCAAGTCAGAGAGTCATGTTTGATTTCTCTGATTAAGTAAAGCTATAGCCTAGGATGCCAAGTTTGGTTTTACTGTCCATTACAACAAGATATGAGTAAATTTTAGAGTTTAGTCAGTGCTAATGTGATGAGAAATTAAAATTGATATGTTTATATCCAATTTGAATGCATCCCCAAAGATATTCCTATCACTAACTCAACTTAATTTGTTCAGGTTAAAATTTTAAGTTCATTAGGTCGAAGGATAATCTATGAATTTCACACTATCTAAAAATAATTACTGATAATAATTCAATTGTCCTTTAGGCAACAGCTTAGTACTCATATTCACAAAATTGACATTTTATTTTCTATCCTTGTTTGTAAGAAGGCAGATGACTTCCTGGCTCATGTTCTTATATAAAAAAATGAACAAGTTATAAGGTAAATCAACCAATATTCTTTAAAAATGAGTCATTCTAATCTGATTGAAAATTTATGTTGGCTTTATAGACAAATATATATATATATAAAATAATCAATTTGATCATCTAAAGATGTCAGGGGTATTTGATGAATTTAAAAATATTTATAATCCGATACAGTAATTCAAACTCTAGGAAGTCACCATTAAAAAAACTGTAATTGACTTCAAGAATAAGTTTGTAATTTTATTCATTATTATTTTATTTAGAGTGAATATGCACTTTTATTTTCAAAACTTTCTCAATATGTACTATAATATCCATTGCTACCCAAATTATAATAAGATTTTTAACAATGCAAATCAGTTTAATGCCCAAATGGAGAAACTTAGTTTTAAAAATTTTAATAATTTTTTAGAGAATACAAAGTAGCCACTACAATAGATTAAAATATGAATATAGGCTAAACTATTTTTTAATACATGTGTACATATACAATGAAAAGCCTAGAGAGTCTTTTTAAAAGTGCAAAAGTACAAATTGTAATTAATTAGTAATGGTAAAATAATAGAAATTAGGCCTTTTTCTTTTACCAATATGTATTTTCTATTTTTTTACAATCCATGTTTAGTATTTTCTTAAAAGAAAACAACTAATAATTTTTAGAAAAAGAGAAATAGAAGACTTTGAAAATATTAATATTATAATTAATAGGCTTAGTAATAGTTTATGAAAAATAAACTTTGATAAAAGTTAATAGAAAATTATTTATTATCTATTTTGAGTTGGTGACATCAGTATTGAATTACTGGTGCTAATTAATGTTAATGTTAACTCATCCAATGCTGATTTATTTAATACATTTTAGGCGCACTTTACCAAACCAGAAAAAAATAGCAGTTCAAAGAACAATGAGCAAAAGACCTTTTGTCTTCAAGTTATTCATGATAGAATGGAGAAGCAGATATCTTATAAATACTTTATGTATGTGGTACAAATAAGTAACCATTGTATGGTAAGAGAGCTTGATTCTGATATAAGATTTTGAAAGACATCATGACTGAGTTAATATTTAATCCATAACTACAAGCTATGGAATCCCAATAAGGACAACTTCATATGGAGAAAACAGCTTGGGCATGGTTATAGAAAAGTTCAAGGTAAATTCAAGAAATTATGAGTATTTGAAATACAGACTATGTGTACAGGATATAGGAAGAAAAACATTTGGCAAAGTGAGTTTTTATGAGATTGCAGGTAATGCTAAATTTATACCAATGATTGTATAAAGGAAGATCTGGAAACCGGAGCTTGGTTAGTAGATAATAATATTAACAGAACTGATCAAACGAAGATTGGTCACCTTCGCTGCATACAATGATGGAAACTAAAAGCAAGCATGCTACATGGCATGCCATTTTAGACGTTTAAGCAAGAGTTAAAAGGACTGTAGGAGAGTGGAAATAAAAGGAAAGCTTTTGGTTTTAGAGACAATGCATAGATGGACTGAGATTTTGTTAACAGTGGAGTTTGGAGACTCAGAGACAAATAAAAACTAAAGCAGACTTCTAGCTTTCAAGTTTAAAAAGGGTCACGTGAAAATGTAGGTATAATTTATGACTCAAATCACAAGGATGAGACTGGATTGTAAAGGAAAGACACTTAGAAACTTGCCATAAGAGTGAGATAAATGAAAACATAAAACTACGATAAACATATTATAGACTGAGAAATGCAGAAGCAAGATAGCCGTTATGAAAATAATAGTGATCGAATTTTAGAATAAATTGTATACATGACTTACTGCCCCCTAAATAATTCTGAAATCTTTGCTTTCTATTTCTTTGCTTTCAAACTTTAGAAACTCCTTGAGTAAAATTAAATAAAATTGATCAGATTAACTCCAATTAATTAAAGATTTATTTAACAATACTTAATGCCATATTTTCATGTGATAATTGTCTCTAACACCAATTATTATAATAATTAGTGTCAAGTTATATTTATCTTCACTTGGAATGCTACATTGTATACTTTAAACAAATTTTAATTAGTTTTTGAGTTTCAATGTACACAACTAATAGAGAAGAGGATAGCATCCACTCCTACAGCAATAGAATGACTCACTACTTCTGGTTACTAAATTTTTCATGAGTCAGAATGCTAATAGAGGAGTGAGCAAATGAAACATTATTTGAACTTTAGACCTCTTAATTTCCCTATAGTTTGCACTATCTTCTGTTTGAGCCTAAGAAATGTGTCTATGAGATATCTCTAGGTTATTTCTCCTAGCAATTAAAAAATTCTCGTGTAAGTAAAGTTGTGTTTACTTTTGATTTCACTAAAATTGTCCTGCTGACCTTTACATTAAGAGTTTCTAGATTTTTGTTTGCTTGTGCTTGTTCATTTTATAAACTCTTGGTAGTCATAATCACATCTTCTACTTGATTGCTAGGGTCATAAAAATTGGAATTATTAAATGTAAACATTTCAATATGTCTGTAATTTTACATGCTTATTATATTTTATATATGTTTCTTGGACATTTTCTAGCATCTATTTAAAGTTCCACTTTTTAGTGGTAAAAACACAAGGATGAGGATTGCTTATTATATATTTAAAAGTTCTTTCATAAATATAATATATTTTAACAATGGATATATTTTCACAGAATACAGTCTAAATTGCATTTCAATAATAATTATTTTGCCAGCACTGGACTAGCCGCCAAGACCTCAGGTTTCAGGCCAAATTCAGCACTTTGCCAGCAGTCCCAGTCATATGGATAATACCCATAGACTCAGCCTCCAGGAAGGCCCCTTATCCCCAGGTTTGAAGCCAGTCCCAGATTCCAGACCACCCCAGAATCAGGTTAGCCACACAACCTCAGGCTTCAGGCTTGCCCCAACTTTAGGCTGACACTCTTACCCTAACACAATAAGGCTTTACCTGTGAACACAAGCCCTAGGCCTGCTCAGTGCATGGTAACTATCTGCAGCCCCACTCTCCAGGCTGGCCCCTGCAGCCTTATACTGCAGCAGATCCATGGTCCAGGCCCATTCTAGCAGACCCCAGTTCTAGGGTAGTCCCCATGGAAATAAGTTATGGAACAGCCCCTATGGCCATAGGACCCAAGCCACTCCTCCCAGACCTAGCCTCTAGGCCAGCACCTGCCTGCCCAGCCTCCAAAAAGGCCCTGATAGATCCATGGTTCAGGCCTATTCTCATGGCCCCAGGCATCAAGTCATCCCCTATGGCTGTAGACACCATGCCATTACCCACAATCCTAGGCTCTAAACTGGACCCCACAGGCCTAAGCTTTACACCTGCCCCAATCTCAAGCTGGCCCCTGGCTCCAGGCTGGTCCCCATGGCCCCAGGTTCCCATAGACCCAGGGTTCAGGTCTACTCTAGTAGACCCTGAGTACATGCCCATTCTAAGACCCTGGTGTCAAGCTGATCTTCATGTACTCAGGTTCCAGGACCACTCCTCCATACCCAGACTCTATGCCATTCCTTATACACTCAGCATCCAGGCCTAGCCCAATGGCTTCCAGCACCAGGTGACAAGCACCAGGTCAGCCCCATGGGCATTCCAGACCCATCCCAGTGGAACCAGGTGCCAGGTCAATCACAGTGTCTGGTTGGCCCTTACACACTCTTATTGTTAATAATAATACCTACAATAATGTATTAAGATACACATAATACAGGCCGGGCACGGTGGCTCACACCTGTAATACTAGCACTTTGGGAGGCCGAGATGGGTGGATCACGAAGTCAGGAGAGTGAAACCATCCTGGCCAACATGATGAAACCCCGTCTCTACTAAAAATACAAAAATTAGCAGGGCATAGTGGCCTGTAATTTCAGCTACTCAGGAGGTTGAGTTAGGAGAATAGCTTGAACTAAGGAGTCAGAAGTTGCAGTGAGCCGAGATCGTGCCACTGAACTCCAGCCTGATGACATAGCAAGACTCCATCTCAAAAAAAAAAAAAAGGATATATATAATATCAAAAGATGTAAGTTGCTACATCAAAAATAAAAAGGGTGGAGGAAATAGGAAAAATGTGTAGAGTTTTTTTAATGCAAAGTTAAATTGAAGTCAACTTTATGAAGCCTCTTGTAACTCTCATGTTTATGTCAGTCTCATGGTAACCATTAAGCAAAGAGCTATAGTAGTACACAAAAGAAAAATAGTGAGCAATTATAGCACACCACTAAAGAAAATCATCTGATCACAATGGCAGACAGCAAGAGAGGATGAAAGAAAAAAGGAAATACAAAACAGTTATAATATTTGAAAAAATTCGGCAAAAGCACAAGTCAGTAAATCTCAGAAGATTGAGATTAGAGCAATTTTCTTTTGTGATGAAAATGGTATGTATCTGGTAATGAATAACTAAAGGAATGTCTGAAAATTCATAAATATCTCGAAATTAAAAACATGCTTCTGTACAACCAATGATCAGAAGAAATTAAAAGGGAAGTTTAAAACTATGTGGAGACAAATTAAAAGAAAATGCAAGATACCGAAACTTATAGAATATAGATAAAGCAGTTTTAAAAGAAATGTTTACAACAATAAATTCCTTTATCAAAAACAGAGAAAAAATTCAAATAAATAACCTATGGTTACACTTCAAGGAACTAAAAAGAAGTGAATAAACTGAGCCTAAAGACAGTAGATGTAAAAAGAAACAAAGATCAAAGCAGAAATAAATAAAACAAAGACCAGAAAAACAATAGAAAAGACTAGTGAAACTAATAGTTGGTTTTTGAAAAGAAAAAAATAACAAATATTTTGCTAGACTAAGGAAAAAAGAAAGAAGACTCAAATACTGTAAAATCAGAAATGACAGAGGAGACATTATAGCTGGAACCAGAAAGATAGAAAGGATTAAAGAGATTACTATGAGCAATATATGCCAGTAAATTGGATAAGATAGAATAAACAGATGAATTCCTAGACAGACAAAACCTACCAAGACTGAGCTATAAAGAAATAGAAAATCTGGACAACACTGTAAACAATTGAATCAATAATAACATGAATCCCATTTTATTATGTGAGCCAATATGCCTGATGGTATTAAAGGTGCAAAAATCCTCAACAAACTGTTAGCAGCATTATATTAAAAGAATTATTCACCAAGATCAAGTAAGATTTATCTTTGGGATGCAAAGATAGTTCAATATTCGAAAATCAATAAATGTGATATACCACATTAACAAAATGAAGGATAAAAATACATAATCACCTCAAAATATCACAGAAAAAAGTATTTGCCAAAGTTCAACATGCTTTTTTGATAAACCTCTTAAAATTTAAATATAGAAGGAATGTACTTTGATAAAATAAAAGCCTATATAAAATTTTACTGCTAATATTATACTCAAAATAGCTGAAATTTTTTCCTCTAGAATCAGGAGCAAGACAATCATGTCTACTCTTTTCACTTCTCTTCAATGAAGTGCTGGTAGTCCTAGGCAGAACAATTAAGCAAGAAGAAATAAAAGGCATTCAAAAAGTTAAATTATCTTTGTTTGCAGATGACATGATCTTATATATAAAAATCCCTAAAGACTCCATTAGAAAACTTTTACAAATAATAAAGAAATACAGTAAAGTTGCACATTGCAAAACCAGCTTACAAAAATCAGTAGCACTTCTAGAAACCAACCAACTCTGCGAAAAAAATTTCAAGGAAAAAAGTTCCACTTACAATCATTTAAAAAAATAAAGTACTAATAATTAATTTAACCATGGAGGTGAAAAACATATATACTACAAACTCTAAAACATTGATGAAAGAAATTGAAGACGACACAAACAAATGGAAAGATAGCCTATGTTCATGGGTCCGAAGAATTCATGTTAAAGTGAACATACTACCGAAAGTGATCTACAGATTCAATCTAATCTGTATCAAAATTCGAACGACACTTTCACAGAAACAGGAAAATATTATCCCAAAATTTGTATAGAACCACATAAGATGCAGAATACTGAAAGCAATTTTGATTACAAAGAATAAAACTGGAAACATCACACTACCTGACTTCAAAATCTATTACAAAGCTATAGTAATAAAAATAGCATGGTACTGGCGTAAAAACAGAAACCTAGATCAATGGAGCAGAATAAACAGTCCAGAAAAAAATTTATGTATTTATGCTTAATTATTTTTTGTCAGAGGTGCCAAGAATAAACAATGGGTGAGGAATAATTTTTGCAATAAATGGTACTGAGAAAACTGCACATCCACATGCAGAAATCTGCAATTAAACTCATCTAATATCATATACAAAAAGTAACTCAAAATGAATTAAAGACTTAAATGTGAGACCTTATACTATGAAACTACTCAGTAAAATGCTCCATGACATTGGCCTAAGCAATTATTTTTTGGATATGACCCTAAAATCACAAGTAACAAAAACAAAAATAGACAAATGAGATTACATCAAACTAAAAATCTTCTACAGAACAAAGGAAACAAACAAACAAAAAACAGAGTAAAGAGACAACCTAAGAAATGTAAGAAAATATTTGAAAACAATACATCATACAAAAAAAAATCCAAAAATGTGAGGAACTTAATAGCAAGAAAACAATATAAATAATGGTCAAAGGACATGAGTAGACATTTCCCAAAAGAAGACATACAAAGAGCCAACAGATATGTGAAATAATGCTCAACATCAGTAAAAATCAGGGAAATTCAAGTCAAAACCAGAATGAGATATAACCTCATATGTCTTAGAATGGCTATTATCATAAAGTCATTATCATAAAGCCATTATCATAAAGAGGAAAGATAATAAGTATTGGTGAGGTTATGGAGAAAAGGCAACCCTTGTAACTGTTGGTAAGAATGTAAATTTGTATAGCCATTATGGAAAACAATATGGAGGTACCTCAAAAAAATACTACCATGTAATTCAGCACTACTACTGAGTATATATCTGAAGAATATGAAGTCAGCACGTCAAAGAGATATCTGCCCTCCTATGTCTATTGCAATATTATTCACAATAGCCAAGATATGGAATCAACCTAAGTGTTCATCAATGAATGGATACATAAAGTGTGTTAATGTGATAAATGCACACACACGCACAGACACACAAATACTATCCAACCAGAAAAAATAAGAAAAAGAAAATCCTGCCATTTGTGACAGCATAGATAGACCTGGAGGACATTCTGGTAAGTGAAATAAGCCAGGCACAGAAAGACAAATATCACATGATCTCATTTATAGGTCGAATCTAAAATCATTGAACATATAGGAGCAGAGAGTAGATGGTGATTACTAGGGCTGGGAGGGTGGAGGAGGTTGGAGATAAGCTACTCAAAGGACAAATGACTTCAGTTAGGAAGACTAAGTTTAAGAGATCTATTGTACAACATGGTGAGTATAATTCATGGCAAGATGTTGCATTCTTGAAAATATCCAAGAGAGTAGGTTTTAAGTTTTCTTACCACAAAATGTTAAGTATGTGAGGTAATGCATATATTAATTAGTTTGAGTTAGCTACTCCACAATGTATTTATTTCTCAAAACTATATTATACATGATAAATATATACAACTCTTCCTGTCAATTAAAAAATACATTTTAAGATTTGTAAATAACAGTTTTTTTATCCTCATATTTTTTCCTTGTGTCAGACAAATCAGTAATAGGCATTTTGAACAGAAAAATCGAAGTAAAACTATAGTTTCTAAAATTTCTAAAGATATTTTGTTATTAAATATGGGTAAAAAGTTCTGAATGTTTCTTACCTTAAAATATGAATTATTTCCTAATCCTCTCAAAGTTAGTCATAATTATACATAATGATATATAAAAACTTATAAAATTATCTCTATTAGGAATAGTAAAGACTATGTTATACCTAAGAAAATTCTGATCATAATGTTTTTATATAATTTTGCATTATAATGAGAAAAACACCAATGTATGTTTTGACAGAGTTATATGAAACATAGGTTACATTTATGTTAGTCAAAAAATAATCAACTGAATATTGCATATTTGCATAAAAATCATAAATACATTCAAAATATATAGAAAATAATGATAGTAGTTGTGAACTGAGAAAATTATTACAGGAAATGAAGGAAATAGTACTTTTTCAAAATTAAAAAAATCACTTAATATTTTGTAGTTTGTGAATAAATATATTATTTAGGGTCGCTAAATTAACAGGTAATTATTTTTACTTTAATAAAATTCAATTCTTATGTATCTGACACTGAAGTTTTACTCAGTGTAATTTAAAAGTACCAATGTAATTACTCATTGTAATTTACTTAAATTACTCAATTACAATGTAATTACTCAATTTACATTGAGTTTTAAATTACTCAATGTAATTTAAAAGAACTTTAAAAATATCAATTAATATATTCTTAAGGAGACACATACATTGTATTAACATTACACGGAACCTAACCAAAATATTGCAATGTGATTTTAAAATGACACTAACTTAATATGGATAAATTTATACACTATGTTATATAATCACTAAGTATTTGGCTTTTCAATTGTGTTGAATTACTATATTTATCTTTACTGAAACCATATCAATGACAGGCTCATTATTTTTAGGGTTTGTGGTAAGTTATTACATCTTCCTTAATTGCTAATAACAAAATTTCTTTAAATTATATATTGCTTTTTATCAAAATTAAATTGAACAAAATAATAATGTTTTATGGTATTGTGAATTTTATCAACATTGTCTCTAATAATTTTTAATTCCATTCAAATTAATCATTAAACCTAATCTTGTAACTACCCTTCTTCTTGTTTAAGATGGGGTCTCGCTCTGTCACCAGGCTGGAGTGTAGTAGCATAATCTTGGCTCACTGGAGCATTGCCTCCTGGGTTCAAGAGATTCTCATGCCTCAGCCTCCCAAGTATCTGGAATTCTAGGTGTCCACCATCACGCCCGCCTCATTTTTTGTATTTTTAGTAGAGACAGGGTTTCATCATGTTGTCCAGGCTTGTCTCGAACTCCTGATCTCAAGTGATCCACTCCCCCAGCCTCCCAAAGTGTTGGGATTACAAGGCGTGAGCCAACATACCCCACTGTAACTACCCTTTCTTATTTCTCATGTTCCTTTTGACCCCAAAGATTTGACGTACTATACCTTTATGATACATATTTTATTCAAATATGTTTGAATTAATGTATTTGCATCCATGCTATTACTTAGAATGTAGTATACCATAAATGCCCTACTTAGATATTTGTCATTTTAAATTTTACATATTACTGTTTTCTATCATTTTGTTTCTTTAGAATGTTAGTGATTTTTTTACTCTGTACAACTTATTTTTATAGAAGTGTAATAGCTAGTAATTTGAGTTCTCAAATTAAACAATCCTGTTCAAATATTGTTTTTGCCTGTTAACTATTACACAATCTTCAAAAGACATGGTAATGATTGAATGAAATAATCTCTGTGAGCCACTTAATACAGTATCTCAGTTTTAGTAAACATGTAATCAATGCTGTGATTTGAGTAATAAATATTTCTTTGATATTATATATGATTTCCATTTATGATTAGTATGTTATTATTAATGAGGTATTTAGGCTATACATGTATCTCTGATTAATGGTTACATTAAAGTAATGACAAAAGTGATGGTACAAGAGGTGAAAACACTACTTTTAAAAGTAAGACAATTATTTTAGAAATATAGGTAAATATATTGGTAAAAATAATAGCAATATAGGTTAAAATGACTGAAATTGTGCTTTACTTCTTGTTTTTATTTATCTAGTTGAGATAAATACTATCTTCCCTTTTTTGTCAAAATTTCTAAAAGTTTACATGGCTGAGGTTAGAATAAGAAACACATACTATATCAGTAAGTGAAAAATTAAGTAGTTTCTTTTTATTGGTGAATTAGAAGATTATTCTTAGAAAGCTTGTTATCTGAGATGTCATTCTGTACCTCTGTGAATTACATCAATTCTCTTCAGCTCTTCATCTGTCCTTGGTCTTATTGCCTGTAATATTTCTGATTTCCTCATCCTGACTTTTGTTCTGTTGGATAATTTTTTTCTCACCTTTTAACAATGGGGATTCTCTTTATCACATCTCCTCAGCAGAGGAGTGGACCTCAAAGGAGCCTGTTACGGACAGGAGACAATAGCTGGCAAAGCAACAAGCTGTGTTTGTTCACACCAGAAATGTATACATTTAGATGAGGACTGTACCTGACTTCTTAAGCCAGCATTGTTTCCTTGACTGGGTAAATCCTGCAACTACTGTACTTTTAAGTCTTGATGGGAGCTTCTAAAATAAGGAAATTAAGAATATTTTAGTTGTCACTGCTTATCAACTCATAAGTGACTTTGGAAAAGTTATTTACCCTATTCCCAAGTTAGTTTTCTTACCTGTAAGTGAAATATTTGTGGCTAAATGATCTAAATTCATTTCTATTTCCAAATTTTCTGATTTTAAAGAATGTATTAAAAGGCTGGTCTATGGGCTAATATTCTGATTGGTTTCTCCAGTCCCACACCAAGAAATAATTATTAAAAATGATTCTTGAACCTCATTAAAAGTATGTAGTTTTTCATAGGGAATGTACAAATTCAATATATGTGAAAGTATGGCTTATAGACACAATTCTCTTAGAAACATTTTGAGTATAAACTAACTTTTCATGTAAGTGAGAGACAATACAGATTTAACCTACATTTTACACGAATTATATATAATATATTTTTTTCTGCAGGCCTGTTTATGTTTTGCTTATGGAAATTTTTACCTTTACTTCTTTTTCCAATATTGGATCTCAGCTCACCAGCTTTCTCTCAACAACTACCACCAACTGACACGGGGAGTAATGAAACAAAAGATGGCAAACAACTCCTCACAAAATAATTTTTTTGCTAAGATAAATATAAAAATCCTCAGGACTCTGGGGTTAAATTACTGAATGAACATGAATCTGATTTCTGTTTATTGGTCTGGTTGTTTTTATCTTACAGGAAATCGCTGGAGTTGTAAATGATGAGGCCAAGTTAAAAAAAGAAAAAGGAAAGGAGATAGAGTAGAAAATAGCAGATACTTCTGACAACCACATTTAAGCTTTGGATTCAGTTTTCCTTGAAAACAATGGTATCCCTTATTCTCTCATAGTATATTAAAAATAAATCATATTTGAATTTTATTGATTATTTTTAACCTAAGTTTATTTGGGTTAGACATTCAGGAACAATAGGAGACATAATTTTCCCAAGTATTTATGTTCGAACGTATACCAACCAGGTGGAAAAAAAGTGTAATTTGTTATCTCTAGTCTTTCCATTCATATCAGCACGTATTCAGAAAAACAATTGGTTCAATAATTATTAGACCACCAATCTTAAAATACTAGCTTAAATAGCCAAGTACTTACTCGATGTAGAATGAGTTATAGGTATTTATATAAGTATTATTTCCATTAGATTGGGGTGAAAAAAGAAGCAATTGCTTATACTACGTCACACATTTAACACCTCTAAGTTTTATTTTGAAACATTGAAAAGTAAACAAATACAGATCATAGAGCTGTTGTGCTAATGAAAACAGTATGCTTTCTTAGCCACCTAAAGCATATAATTATTCAGGGAAGAGAGAAATACCACTGCACAGTAGTACAGTATCACCTTTCACTTTGGGTGTAAGTTGTTATTTTTTTTTTTTTTTTTTTGAGACGGAGTCTCGCTCTGTCGCCCAGGCTGGAGTGCAGTGGCGCGATCTTGGCTCACTGCAAGCTCCGCCTCCCGGGTTCACGCCATTCTCCTGCCTCAGCCTCCCGAGTAGCTGGGACTACAGGCGCCCGCTACCACGCCCGGCTAATTTTTTGTATTTTCAGTAGAGACGGGGTTTCACCGTGTTAGCCAGGATGGTCTCGATCTCCTGACCTCGTGATCCGCCCGCCTCGGCCTCCCAAAGTGCTGGGATTACAGGCAAGTTGTTATTTCTTAACTAAACAATACATAATAAAACAATGCTTTATAGAAATTACGTAATTTGTTGTAAATTATGTTGTACAACGTAAATTATGTTGTACATTTTCATAATATAGTAATTTACAAAAGGTAGATTAAGTTGTTTACTTAGTGGTCTGTCAGGTTGATAGTGCTATATATTTACATATGTTTCAAGGCAGCAAACATTAATTGATATGGTAAGTGAATACATTCTCAGAGAAACACAGCATGGCATGTTAATATTAACGAATATTTATTCTAGTCTGCATCTGTGGCTGTTTCCTTGAATATGTTTTTATCCACATAAGTAATATATTTAGACTTCATAAAACAAAGTGTCTTTTTTGTCATTTATCCCTCTGTGTGTCTATGAAATAGAATATTAATTAGGGCTGTTTTACAATTCAGAGTTTTAAAACTGATGAATAACATTATCTAGTTTTTAAAACTTAGAGTTTATCTCAACAACCCCTTTTTAAATATATTTCTATGCATGAAAAATTGTGATGAGAATTCATGAATTATATTTAAGAAAGAAAATTACACATATCATAGGTTAACAAAGAAAGTAATTTAAAGTTAAATTAAATAAGAGCTGAATAAATGTAGTTAGTAATTCTCCTAGTAGATTAACAATAAAAAGTTAAGTGACAAGGCAATAGAAGATCAAATTATTCATTTTAAAATGTTAAAAATAAGATGGTCTGTGTGACAAGGAAAATGCACTTTAAATATAGCAATTTTGATAAAAGAAAAATTGGATTATGACAATGAGAAAAACTCTTACCATATTTTTTTCTTCAGAGGAATACTCTGAAATTACTATAGGTTCTAGTTCCAGAACATTTTTATCATGCCAAATAGAAAACCTTACCTACTAAGCAGTAACTCTCCATTTGCCTCTATCTTGATGCTCTGGCAACTTATAACCTATTGTTTCTTTGTCTGTATGAATGTACCTATTCTGAATATTTCATATCAATGAGAGGATACAATATACGACCTTAGAGTTTTAGGTGCTTTAACTTAGCACAACATTTTCAAGGTCCATCATGTTGTAGCAGGTAGTAATTCTTCACTCCATTTTATTGCTGAATATGAATATAGATATGTTACATTTTGTTTATTCATTTATCAGTTGATGGATAGTAGGGTTATTAATACATTTTGGCTGTTGTGCAAAGTGCAACTAAGACAATTATTGTAAAAGTAGAAACCCAAAAGTTTGCATTTTTTTAAGGTAAACTTGTAGAAGAATTGCGGGGTTATATGGTAATTCTATGTTCCATTTCTTGAAGAGCCACCAGACTGTTTTTGGAGTGCCTGCACCATTTTAGATTTTCACAACAACATATAAAGATTCCAATTACTCCACATTCTCTCTGCCAACATTTCTTATTTTCTGTTTGTTGTTGTTGTTGTTTTAATTTTTTTTCAATTACAGTCATCCTAGTGGATGTGACATGCTATCTCATTGTGGTTTTAAATGCATTTCCTTAATTATTAATGATGTTGACCATCTTCATATGCTTGCTAGACAGTTGCATTTTTTTCTTGTAGAAATTCAAAGTCCTTCGACCATTTACCGATTAGGTTGCTCATCTTTTTGTTGTTGAGTTGCAGGCGTTCTTCATGTATTCTAGATAGTAGAATCCGGTCAGCTATATGATTTGCAAATATTTTCTCTCATTTTGTGAGTCATCTTCTCTATTGATAGAGTTATTTGATTCACAAACATTTTTAATTTAGATGTTGTCCAATTTATAGGTTTTCTCTGTTGGTTGTACTTTAGTGTCATATCTAAAACTCCATTACCAAATCCAAGGTCACATACACTTAGCCTTATATTTTTGTTCTAAGAGGTTTAGTTTTCTCTCTTACATTTCAGTTGTTATTATTTTTGTGCATGCTGTGAGACAAGTTATTTTCATTCTTTTGCATGTAGAAATCTAGTTGTACTAGCATCATTTGTTGAAGAGACTATTATTTTCCCATTGAATAATCTTCACTCCCTTTTTGAAAATCAATTGACTGTAGATGTATTAATTTACTCCAGAAATCTACATTCAATTCCATTATTCTCAACATCTATTCTTATGCCAGTACTAGATTATTTCAATTACTGTAAGTTTATAGTGACTTTTGTAATCAGGATGTGTGAATTCTCCAACTTTGCTCCTTTTTTCTAGATTTTTCTATTAAGAGTCACCTGTAATTTTATGAATTTGCAAGGATCAGCTTTTCCATTTCTGAATAAAAGGCTATAAGGATGTTGATGGTTATTGAATTAAATCTATAGATGCCTTGAGGAATATTACCATCTTAAAATATTAAGTCCTGTAATCTGAAAACATGATATGTCCTTTTATGTATTAGTCTTAAGTGTCTTTCAAGAATTTATTTTCATTTTCAGGGTAAAAGTTTTAGAGCACCTTGGCTAAACCTATTTCTAAGCATTTTGTTCTTTTTAAAATATATTATAAATTGAATTGTTTTATTAATTTTATTTTCAGATTGTTCATTGGTAGTATATGAAAATGCAACTATTTTTGTGTATTAATCTTGCATTCAACTAACTTGATGAATTAATTTATTATCTCTAATGTGGTTTTTTGGTGGATAGTTTAGAAATTTCTAGCTATAAGATCATTTCAAAGTTTTACTTGTTCATTTCCAATTTGGATGGATTTTATTAATGTTTTTGTCTAATTACTTTAGCAAGAATTTCTAGTACTGTGTTGAATAGAAGTGGTAAAAGTGGGCATTACTGTCTTGTTCCTGATCCTGGAAGGTGTATTACTTTCCTAGGACTGCTGCAACAAACTACTGAATTAAAACAATAAAAGTTTACTCCCACACAGTTTGGGAGGCTAAGGTATCAGCATGCACTCTGTCCTACCTCCAAAAGTTTACTAGCAAACTTTGGCATTCTTTAGCCTGCTGCTTGTTAGCCCCAATTTCATCTCCGCCTTGCTTATCACGTAAGTGTCTTCCCTTTGTCTATGTCTTCACAAGACATTATCCTTTCTGTGTATATCTGTCTCTTTGTCTCTTCTCCCCTTTCTATATGGACACACCAGTCATATTAGATCAAGGGCCCTTCTTACCACATTTTCCTTGTATCTTTCCAAATAAGGTCACATTCACAGGTGCTAGTGGTGAGGTCATCATCATGTCTTTTTCAGTAATGTAAGGCAACTCACAAAACGAAGAAAGCTCTATGACTTTTATTATAAAGTACATTAGCTGTGGACTTTCTCTATATGTTCTCTATCATGTTAAGAATGTTTCCTTCTATTTTCAGTTTGCTGAGTGTTTTTCTCTTGAAAAGGTTTAAGATGTTGTCATGCTTTTTATTTTTGCATCAATAGAGGTAACAATGTGTTTTGTTTTTCCTTTCATTTTATTAGTGTGGTCTATTACATTGGTTTCCTTACATTGAACCACCTCCTGTATTCTTGGGATAAATACCACTTGGTTATACTGTATATACCTATTAACATGCCTCTAAATTAAGTTTTCTAGTATTAATCGTGCATCTATATTAATAAGGGATAGTAATCTTTAATTATATTTTACCATGATGCCTATCCGGCCTTGGTATCACAGTAATACTGGCCTCATAGAATGCATGATGAAATATTCATTCTTACTGTATTTTTTAGAAGAGTAGTGGTGAGAAATGTTGGTGTTAATTCCTCTTTAAACATTGATAAAATTGACCAATGAAGTCATCTCCTTCTGGATTTTCCTTTACTGGGAGTTTTGATTACCAATTCAATCATTTTACATGATATAGGTATTTTCATATTTATTATTTCTTCATGAGTCATTCCTGGTATTTTATGTATTTCTATATAGTTTACATTTCATCTAAGTTATCTGATTTGTTGGGGTATAATTATAATTATTAACAGTATTCGCTTATAAATCAAAAACACCATTCTAAGCTCCCTGATTGACTGAATGAACCCCATTCTTGGCCAAGAAAATCTCCCCCCAAAACTGAAAAACTAGTTAAGGCCATGACAGGAAGGGGGTTGTGTCAGACATGTCTCATTATACCCACGTCCCTTGGATGTTTAGACACAACACAGCAGCACTAACATTAAAACAGAGACTCTTTGTAGTAATGGGATACTCAATTTCAACCTGACTCTGGTACAGCATCACATGACAGATAGCAGGCCCTGAATAAAAATCAAATTATTTTATCCCAAAATATATTTCTTTGACATATTTTGAAATGACTCGGCAAAGCTGTCTCATGTGGGGGAAATTTACATTCTGAAGGAAGTATTGACAGCTATTAATTTCTCTTTAAGCACTATTTTCTCTACATCCAATAAGATTTGGTGTGTGTTCTTGTTTTTGATCATTTCATAGAAATTTCTAATCTCCTTTTTGAATTCTGCTTTAACACATTGGTTGTTATAAAATGTGTTGTTTAATTTCTACATTTGTGAGTTTTTTGGAGTGTTCCTTCTTGATATGAGTTCTGGAGTCCTGCAGAACCAGGGCCCCAATGTCTGAGGGCAAGAGAAGATGGATGTCCCCGCTTAAGGAGAAAGATAATTTGATCTTTCTCTGTCTTTTTGTTCTATGTGGACCTGCAATGGATCAGATGATGCCTACGAACATTGTGAGAGCCATTTTCTTTACTCAGTCTACTGTTTTAAATGCAAATTTCTTTTGGGAACATCCTAACTGACACACTAAAAACTAACGTTTTACAAGCTATTTGGATACCCCTTATCCCAGTCAATTTAGTACATACTGCTGTTGGGTATAGAGTGTTATGTCTTAAATATATGTCTGGTAGACTAGTTGATTTACAGTGTTGTTCAAATTCAGTATTTTGTTCTTGATCTTCAGTGTAGTTATTCTGTCCATTATTGAAAGTAGGATACTGAAGTCTCCAACCATTATTTTACAATGGCCTTTTCTCTCCCTTAAATTCTGTCAATCTTTGATTCATATATTGTGTGGCTCTATTCATAAATATGTAAATGTTTATAATGTTTACATATTCTTCATGGATTAACTTTTTTTGTCAATACATAATATCCTTCTTCGTGTTTTATAACAAATTTTGACTTAAAGTAAATTTGGTTTTATATTAGTATATCTGTCCCAGCTTACTTTAGGTCAACACTTGTGTAGAATATCTTTTCACTTTCACTTTCTATGTATTTGTGGTTTTGTATCTAAAGTAAGTTTCTTGTAGACAGTATATAGCTGGAATTTTTTAAATTAATTTGGCTAATGGGGACAATAGAGACAGGATACTTTCCTCTATTGTCTGAACAAGTTTTTGAAAGGTTGGTGTCCTTTATTTTATAAATACTAGAATGCATTAGTAAAAACAGTCTTGTATTTTTCTTTGTGCAAATGTATTTGACAGCATATTTTGTCTTCAGTAAAGATAAGGTTATTCACATTTTCTATCTTATGTTATTCCAGCTCTGGTAAGTTTACATTTTAAGGAATTGCCTGTTTCATCTACATGGTCTAACTTGTTGGCCTGAAGTTACTCATAATAAAGCCTGACCATGTGTTTCATTTTTATATGACCTGTAGTGGTAAACACCAACATTATTTGTTTCTTCTTTTTTAATGATAATTTTTAACTAGAATTTTAAAGAAATATATTTGTTCACTTCTTCAAAGGACCAACGTACAACTTTGTTAATTTTTTTATTGCTTTTATGTTTTCTAATTTATTAATTTATGCTCTTACCTTTATTGTTATTATCTGTTCCATTCTACGTATCTTGATATCTTTGCTCTTTTTTAAATCTCTTTTTAAAGGCAGAACAGAAGGTCATTAATTTTAAACAATTCTTTTTCCATTTAATGCTACAAATTTCTATGTACTGCTTTTGCTATGTTGTTCCTTTTGATATGTTTTGTTTTATTTTCCATGAATTCTGAAATATCTTCTTATTTCTTTTACAATAATTTTTATTGGAGTTATTTACTAGTGTGCTGCTTAATTCTCAAATACTCAGGATAATATGGGTAGCTTTTTTTTAATCTTTAATTAACTTCTATTTAAATATAGACTATAATCTTTATAGTGGCAATTATTTTAAATTAACTGGACTTGTTTTACATGAGGTCTACTTTGTTGAAGTTATCATGTACACTTGAAAAGAGGTCATGTTTGCTTTTGTTGAATAGTTTTTCATATATTTAAGTTCAGTAAAGATGGTTGAATATTCTTTGTCAGATTTTTAAAGTGTTTACAATTTTATTTGGCAGTTCTATAAATTACTGATAGAGAAGTGTCAAAATCTGCCACTATGTTTACTTAATGGTCTATTTTCCTTTCAGTATACCTTGCTTATTTTTAAAATCTGCTATTTGTTTGTACCCAAAAATGATTATGTCTTTCTGATAAACTGAACTTTTATAATTATAAAATACATTTATCTCTGGCAGTTTGTTTTGTTTTGAATTAGAATTCAAAATGTAATTAAAATTATAATTATATATGAGATTCTGCTTTTATACTTCCTCTTTGCATAGTATACGTTTGGCATTCCCTTTAATTTCAGCCTAGTTTTCTTTTTATGTATATTTTACGTTCCTTTCTTTAGACAGAATTGATCCATATTTTGCTTTCCTTTTAAAAAATTACTAAATGTCTGTCTTTTGATGTTTCATTTGCATGTTTAATTCATTAACACATAATATAACTTTTGATGTGCTTGGATTTAGATCTATTATTTTGTTGTTTATTTTCTGTTTATTTCCTCTAATTTGTGTTTCTTTGTTTTTCATTTTCTACTCTTCTCTGTTGTTTTTAGAATCAAATTTTTAACTATTGGGATTCAGCTGTATATATCCTTGTACTAATATTTTAATGGCTAATTTAGGGATTAAAGTAAACATTCTAGATTTTTTATAACTAATCTATAGTTAATATTGTTCCAGTTTATGTAAAGTTTAAAACCTTTTGTATTCTATAGGCCTATTAATCTGTTTGTCATCTTTTATTCTAGAGTTTTTGTATGTATTAAATATGTGTACAGTATATTTCTCACAGTACAATATTCATTTTATTCTTAGTCATATATATTTTATAGAAATGAAAACAGTTTTATTTTGCCCACATATTTAACATTATTTCTGCTCTTCATTTCTTTCTGAACATCTGAATGTCCATCTTATTTTATTTTATTTTCACCTGAAGAAATACCCTTAACATGTTTTAAGAGAAGCTACTAAAAGAATCCTTATGTTTTATTTAATATAAACTCAATATTGTTTAAGGTCTTATGCTTATAATCAAGCATTCTGCAATTCAATAATTTATTCAATATTTTAATACTTTTCTGGCAGACTTCATTTTAATTGTTATTATATTTTGCTAGTAATTTTCCCACTAATGTGAAATGCAGTGCCATTCAATATTTGTCTATATTCTTCAAAACAAATGCATAGGTGAACATACAAATTGCTAATAAGAAGCTCCCATATTCCATCTCTGTTAATATGCACTGCTTATATGATTTACAAACTTGTAATTGCAGCTGTTAACAAAGTCATAAATTGATTACATAAGTCATGCATATTAGCAGATACACCGTGTTATACGTATCAGATATTGTTCATTTTATTTTTTTGATTAAAAATTTTTCTTTCCACAGAGTGAAAATAATTTTTTGTTAAATTTTGCCAAACCATATCCATAACCAACCTATGGTTGCAATAAAACTGTTATTTGACCAGCGGAGATGCGTCCCAATAAATTAATACTCCTAATAAGTTCATTGTCATTAAACTGATATGTGATTTGTCATTCCACTATTATTAAATTCTACAAATTATATTAATTAAGGTAAAATCTCTTTTAGCCTTAACATTAATTGTAAATTTATGTGATTTTATTTTTGTAATGGCTGTGTTTAATAACTTGCTCACAATGTTTCTGCAAATTAAACTGTCAGGTTTTGTGAGCTAGTAAAAGCTAGGTCCACACTGCTGCATGTAGATCACCTTACGAATTGGATCCAAGAAAAAAGAAAAATCAAAAAAATTCATTTTTATTTTTCTTTTTTTATTCCTATCTTCGATATCTCTTTATTCTCTTATCTTTTCAGTTGTAATAATATTCTGAAGAATAATTTTCTATATTTTCTATAGAAAATGAAATTTCTATCATTTTCATTCTCTACCTATTTCTATAATTTGCTTTATCCTCGTTTTCCATGAACAGGATTAAAAAATAATCATTAGCAGCTAGCAGGTATGATCTGAAAGAACAGCAATTTTTCTTTATATGAGTGGCTTATAGAATATATGTTTATAACTTTATTTTAAAATACCATCACAGCATTTTTTGTTTACATATAACAGCTGTTTTAATCCAATCAATTTTAATAGAATTTTAATTCAATTGAATATTTATTAATGTTCTGCCTACTATGTGGTCATTAGTGATATAGTGATAAAAGGGACTCACATGGTCTTTGCCCTCATGAGATGTGTAAGTGGATAAATCATTCTTTTACCAATAACCAGAAGTGTGTTGAATATGAGGAAATATTTTTAAAGTACCACGGGAATAGCAAATAAGCTTTATCTAGTCAGAGGTGTCAAAGGCTTCTTTACGTAAGTAAAACATAACTGAAATTTAATAGGTAATGAGGCCATTAGATAGGAAAGTAACAGAGAAAGACGGCAGCTAACTTAATGATAAGGGGTACATGAAGAGCTGGAGGGGCCCTAAGTAGTGCAAGTCCATAATACCCGGCAAAAGCAGTAAGAATAGACAAAACAATAACCTTAGTGCTGCAGGAGCCTTCGACTCTTTCTTTTTGCCATTCTTTCAATATCTGCCCTGAAATAAACACACACACACACACATTTAGAATATGGAAATGTATCAAAATGGAGAAATAATTGATCCTGAGCAAAATTAAAGAGATGAGAAAATTTGGTTAAAAATTTTTTTTTCTCTTCATATTCCATTAAAAATAATCATTCCCTACTTGTATCTTTTGCCTCTATAGTGCTCCAGGTTCCTAGTTCAAAAGTAGAAGTCTCCTGCAAGACACAATTCATTTATTGCTTTTTAAAAATGCAGTTCAAATTTGTTTAATAGTGAATGTAAATGTGAGAAACTAGCTTAATATTCACCAAATCCTTTTTTTGTCTTTTTGCCTGCACCTTAGCCTTTCTGAATCATTTTGCATCAAGGTGGCATCAAACAATTGAGTTCTGACATTTAAATGTGGGCCAAAATGATGTACACAACTTCCAGACTGGTCATTAACACTGCCCATGAAGAGACTTATCACGGTTGTTTTTTTCTCTTGCCTCTGTCCAATGTAGAGGGATTGATGGAGGATTTTGGTGTCCTTAGAGATGGCAGAACTATTAACTAAAAGGAGCTTGTGTTCCTGCCTATTGAGCAGAGTTCCTCAACAATGTACATTGGGCTGTAATGTGAGAAACAAAATTTTGACGTTTGAAAGTAGTAATCTTTAGTCAGTACTTGTTATAGGAGGGAACATTCTTGGAAAATACTATATATGTAATATATATGCATATATGTAATATTATATATGTAATAGATGTTAAAATCATAGTAGAGGTAATACGGACTAAATTTTAAAAATTATTCATCTCTGTAGATGGAGAGAGTAAAATAGATTGGAGAGGAATGCAGAAGTATTCTTTATTAGCAAACATGACTAAACCTGATTACTTTCATTCTAATGAGTATATGGTGTCCTTTGTCATCTATGTATATTATTTCATTTCTTCTTTAGAATAATTTCATAACAGGTAATTTATGTGCATAACAAGAAAATGATGAGCATCTCGATAGAGAAATGGACAAACAACTTGCGAAAGTGTCACCAAATGAGGAATTCCAAGAACCAATAATATAAAAATACGATATTTCTTATTGCTTATCAAGGTAGTGTAATTGAAAAAAATAGCAGGCAATTATGTTTTAGTAGGATAACTGAATATATTGAAAAATATATTAGAAATTGCTTACAAGATGGGTAATATACTGCATTGGTCATATTGGTCATGTATGAGATTTCTACACATTTTAAAATTGCTTCGGTCCTATGTACCAAATTTCAAGTGAGAAAATTATTTGACACATCAATTTTACGCTTACAAATTAATTCTAAAATAATCAGTGTGTAGATATATACAAAACAAGTATATTCTGATAAAAAATTAATAATAAGAAAAAGTAAACAACCTTAATTAAAATCATGGATTTCTTAAACTCATTATCATATATGTGTAGCAATTATGAAATAAGCAGTCTTTAAAAGATTTTTTAAATGATAACATTTATTGTTATGATATACATATATAGGGCATATATTTAAATTAAAAAACAAGTGAAAATTAAGCATATAAAACATATGCTTTTTATTTAATAATAAGGTATTTTTCTTGTATCTGTATATACATACAGATACATATAATTTAACAGAAGCATATATCAAAATGAAAATATTAGATTTTAAGAACTATTATTGCAGGTGATCTTTATTTTCTTTAATATACTCTTTTGTGTTAATTTCTATATGTGGTTCTTGGTTTCACAAAATGTGATGATAAAATCATAAAAGACATAATGCAATTACATATGCATTCTTTTAGAATATAGTGTGAAAAATCTTAGCAAGTATATCATTAATAAAGTGTTAAGTAATTCTAAGATCACTATCATACATGAATCATTTTAGATTAATAGAATGTCTTTTGAGTGGTGAAGATTCTGCAAAGGTGAATATGTAATTAAAATTATTCAATGGGATTATGGTGTATACAAACCAAAAGAAAGAACATATACATACAGAAAGAAAGTGCATAATTCTATGAAGAAAGAGCAACATTTGATTTAAACAACTTAACAGCCATTTTTGCCATGTATTCTCTGTGAAAACCAGGATAATTCAGGAAACATATTAAGGGGAAAAAATGTCTAAGACCAACTGGTGAAATAAGAAAAGAAATTAACCCAAAATAGTCAATATATGCTGTGTTATCTATCAGTAAGAATGTAAAGTAAGTGGCATTTAAAAAGTAATTTACTTCCTTTAAAAAATTCAGCAGTTTCGCATCACAATGAGTTACAGAATATGCTGCAATACAGTGTACCTCATAATGTTTGTAACTCCTCAGGGTAAAATATAAAAATACTTTATTCTCAGCAATCTAAAAGTGACCACATTCCAAAAGTGTTAAGTGCAATCAAATGAATAATACTTTTTAAATAAAGCATCCAATGTTCTAGTGTGTAATAAACTTGCATCCCTATTGGCTAGTATTCACTTGCTACTCAACTAACAGATCTGAATTAAAAATGCTTTCTTTACATATTAAGCAATTGATATAAGTTTTGTAGGACAAATTTTAAAGAAATTGTATTTTAGAAATTTTACACATCCCTTCTACAATGATAATAAAAGGAGACAATCTCATAACAGTGTGCAGTTTTTATCATTTTTGCTATCTTTTCTCATAAAACACTGTTCTACAAAGATAATGTAGCTGTAATTACTATATAACTCTATAGCAAAATCAAAACTTCTACTATACCCCAAATGCAAATATAGTATAAAGAATCTTCCAATAAAACTATTGACAAAAGTGTAAATGCATGACTTAGTCTTAATAGCTTTTGTGTAAGTAAAGCATTATCTCCTGGGAACGCCAAATGCTAGAAAGGAATGAGATCTGTAATATTGTATTTATTGCTTAAAGTGCTGGTGGAGAATTGAACTGCTGTGTCCACAAATTTCTATTCTTCCATCATTCAGTACATTTTAGAACTTCTTTAGTGCTTGAGAGGCATTAACTAATCATTACACTCAATAACTTAAGTTTTTATCCCTTTTTACACAACTAAAAGAAAGTGGGTAAGTGGTTTTCCTCTGCCAGCACCGTAAGTCAGCATAAGGCCAAATTAGAAGCATCTTATGTCTTTGGTATGATTTAGATGTGTTTTCCAAAATAATGTACACAAGGGAGTTACTGATGGAGGCCAAGGAGAAGGGCCAGGCATTGGAGGTGGGAAAAAGTCCAAAGACACACCTGACCTGGTCATTAAAAATGATGCATCATTTCTCAGTAACATTTCATCATGCCTCTGCTCTATGATCAATAAACACAGTTAGGAATTGGGGAAAGTAGGCACAAGAGCTTATCTAGAGAAGAAAAATTATTTTAAAGTACATGCTAGAAATGAGCTGTATTTTTCACAGGCAGGAGTACATAACAATGTCTTCCAATGCTGGAAGACACCTAGGCTTGGATACATAACAAAACATAAATTAATTTAGGATTAATATCATCCTATTTTATGATCCTAGCTTTCTGATTACCTATTTCCCATCACATTATGGTTCCTAATAATGTTCTTTAGACTTTCAAAGACAGATGATGCAATTTGAGCATATTATTTTGGATCTACGACAATATTTTTCTATAGTCATCCCTCCTAATTCGTGTGACCAGATCTAGGAACAATTGCACTGTTTAGGAGTTTTGAAAGAGGGAAAAATTTGTAGGCCTCAACTTCTGTCCATCTTCACTTCTTGTGTTAGGGTGGATAAAACACAACATGCATAGAAAGTGAAAAATTAATTTTCTGACATTTTGCCTGTGTCTTAGCTTGTCCATTAACACATGCTTTAATGGTTGAGAATACTTGTTCTGAAGTCAAGCTATTTGCATAAAATGGTTACTCAATCATTTATTGCATGGATACTCTTGGAAAAATTAGTTAAATCTGTTTGGCTTCCCATTACTCACATGACTAATAAGTACATTAATTGTTGTACAAATTAAATCAGTTTTAAATACAAATTGTTTAGAATACTGTTTATCATATAGTAAGCTCTTCATAAATAATTGTCAATATTATCAGCAGTATAATTATTTCAATTAACTTAATCTTATTGAATCAATATTTTCTCTGTTCTTTCTAGTTGAGATTTTGATATCTTTTTACAAATCAAGCGAATGTCATGCCCAGGTAAAGGTCCAGACTGCAATATTTAAAAAAAAACAGTTTCCAGTTTTGCTTCTAATTTACTACTTTACCATAAATAAGCCATTTTAACAACTCTAGTTTGTTCTTATAATATGTGAATATAAACTGTGTTTTCATAACTCCCTTTAGGTCTAAAATTGTGTGAGTCAAAGGCATAATTTTGGGTTAGAACTGACCAAAGGTTTTAATATATCTAGATCAATATTATGTTCTGAAATAATTCACATATCAAATACCTATTTTGTATCATAAATGTCATGTTGATTTTTAAATCTTTTTAATGTTTAAATACAATATGCATGTTATTTTTAAAACGTTAAATATTCTGTACATATTCTTGGCTAGTCTTCTACCTATAGACTCTTTGAAATATATGCTCTTGAGTTAATGATGCCTCCTCCAAATATTCTTGGAATTCAACTTTTAAATTGTGTTAAAAATGCATTTTAATAGTGGCATAAAGTGGTTTTTTTCTTGGGACTTTTTTTTGGAGACATCCCAAGACATAATTGGTAAATAATGCAGATAATCAAGCATACAGAGGTTGTCTAATTAAAAATAATATATGCTGACAAAAAGCAATAAATATTATTTGTGTGTGTATAGCTTATATTTGATTGTAAAAGCAATTTCAAAAGATCATTTGGAAAAAAATAGGGAAAAACCTAGTTAATGTTCTACCTGTAAAAATGTTCAATATTTAAAAGGTTAGCAAATTATTCCTCACCAACTGCCAGAATGAAGGAATCAACATCATCCCTTTTTGTTACCCCATTAGGGAGCATAGATCAGTGAAGACATGATGACAAATTAGTTTTACATTGTCCATATAGTAGGATCTCTCTCCACATAGAAGAAAATTATAATTATTTACTAAATGTATGTGGTTGATTTCTTGAAACTATCATATATATGATAGTCATGTGTCACTTCATGACTGAACTATGGCCTATTACTCCTAGGCTACACAACTGTATAGCATGTTACTGTGCTGAATATCATAGACAATTGTAATACTATGGTAGTATTTATGTTTGCAAACATATCTAAACATAGAAAATGTATAGTAAAAATACAATATTATAATTTCGTGGGACCACCATTATATATGCAATTTATTGTTGACCAAAATGAGATATTTCTTCATAGATCTTTCATGCTTCTGCATATCTTACTGTATGTGCCTGGAATGCAAGTCCCAGACAACTCTTTACCTGGTTCATTTCTCAGGTCTGAATTCCCAGTGAGCAACCTTGAGGAATAAGGTAACATCTCCCTCTGGGACAAAGAGCAAGCTTGCTTCCTCCTAACTATAAAAGTGATGAATTCCCAAAGCTCAGTACTCTTCAGCTGTAATACAAACTCAGTGCAGATGCAGTGTTTATTTGAATCCATATTGCTTTCTCCCTTTGGGACTTTCAGGGAACCAAACTGATACAAACATGCTCATTTACCTGGTACTGCCTATGCTGTGAATATTTATAATCATTTGTCTCTGAACTTGGAGCCTTTTGTCTTCTTCCAGCATCTATGATACTAACAGCATAACTTATTAACTTGTAAAGAGGCTAAAATATAATATCAGACCTGGAAAACTTGCTGTTTTGTGAATTTCTTTCTGTGAGACTTCAGAAATAATATTTTAACATTTTATAATGTTATCCATGATATGCCTCTATGTTTAATATAGTTTATGGCTCTAGCTTATTAGACTTATTCAAAAAACAAGGTAAGTACTAGAAAGTCATATAGAATTATTACCAACCATTATATAGCATTAAGTAAAATATTTGATTTTATAATTATTTTAAATGGGTATCTCTTTTTCATGATGAATTTTGGAGACTATCAGGGCAGGTAGAAGCATATTTTTTGACAAAGGCCTTCTCCACTTGACATTTAATAATGATGTAAATATTACTTTATTTGTAGATTTAGCGTCAGACTCTGTTTATATGATGGTAACTTATCTTGCCTCTTAAATAAAATTAATTAAATAATCTGTCTGGTATCTTATTTAACTGGTCCTGTAATAAGTTTTAAAACTATGTAAGGATTAATACAACTCTTTAAAAGATAAGAGTTCAAGAAATATGAGGACTTAAACAAAGAAAATTAGATATATTTAAAATATGAAAATTTGCATTTTATAGACTAACAAAATATTCTTAAAGTTTCAAACTTTGGATTTTATTGCTTCTCTTCTATGATGAATATTAAAGACTAACTTAAAACTTTATGCATATCAGTTTTCTATAAAGCTAATCTGATCAATATGCAAGACATGAAGTGCATACCATATTTTATGTGAATATTCACAAAAAATAATCAATGGAGGCACGTCAAGTAAGTATACTACCTATGACAAGTTTTTCTCTTTTTAAGAAGTGTATACAAACCACTTCTATTATTACCAATCTTAAAGCATTTAAACACAAAGATACAATCCTCAATTTAGGGCTCATGCATTAAAGTGGCAGGAAAGTAAGGAAATAACAGAACTCAAAAACCCATTACACAATCCAATTTTGAGATACTAAAATGAATCCAGTTTTAGAAGTAAACATTTCCATTACCATACTTCAAAACCATACTGCAGATATTTCTCTGTGAATTACAATTAGGTTTACAAATATATATGAAACTAAAGAATAGCTCCTTAGATATCTATAGCCTAAGTAATAAATTACATTATTATTCTGGTTATACTCTGATAAATATTCCTTTACTATGACTAATGATTTGAAAAGATAATAAGCATAGTAATGATGCATAGCAGTTCTCCTCTTTCATGTAACGTAGGTGTGGAAAGTACATTTAAGGGTACCTAGTTGAATGTAGTCTCCTGTTACATAGTTCAGCAAATGGTGAACTGATTTTTAATGCTGTGGAAACACTGTCAAATGGTAAAATTTTCAGGAAAAGACCTGGAGCTATGTGTTTGCGAAGACTTTTGTTATTTCATTTTATAATAGTTAACCATATGAAATATGTACATAATAAATGGTAGATAAAGTTATGGATAAGTTAAAGTTATAAAATCATAAATTAGCATTATTTAATTAAGGAACCATCTTCAAGGACACTCTGAATCATAAAATTCAGACAGGTACAAAAAAATCTTTAGGTACATATATAAATGACTACACAAATCACCACTAGTGAGAAGCATGCCAAAACCTGCATTGTCTTTGATGAGTCAGAAAAAAATGGGGAAAAGACTTAATTAATGTCAACTATAAAAGTTACTTAGCAGTAAAATTTTGAAATGTTAAAAAAACCAAGGACATTTTTTTCCCAACTACTTGAGTTAAAAACAAATCTCATCCCTTTTAGTTATACCTACTGTAGAGCATAATATGAACCCAATTAGGATGCAGATAGACTAAGAATGTGAGCAAGACCACAGACACATAAATCTGTAGAAAACCTGATGATCATAGTAATAAAACTTTATATAAAGTTTACATCTCTATCTTCAAATGTAAAGGACTTTGTATGTTTTATTTGATGACTTTTTGAAGAAAGAGTACAAAGCAAACTAAATGAATACTTGTTTGCTGGTAAAGGGGAGGTACTGCTACACTTTGACTAAAGGAATGATTAATTAATTAATTAATTAATTAATCTATTAAAATAATAACCCTAAATGCTAGTCACCAGGTTTACTAGTGTAATAAATAAATCTCATGTGAACATTGCAGTTCTTCATTGATGATGAATTACTGTATGGTGTACTGGTTGTCATTGTTTATTTGTTTATTGCTTGCTTACCTTGAATATAGAAAGAAAAATACTGAACACATCCTTATCTCTGAATTTCACTCCAGTATCCATGGCACTCAGGTCCCTAAGATCTGTGATTGAATCGAAATATTCACCCCACCATCCAGATATTTTGTTCCCACAATTCCAAAAATCAGCTGTTTTCTAGGCTTCAATTCTTAAAATTTCAGATAAATAGTCACTCTGTTTAAAGGACCAGGAGATTGGACTAATTTGTTTCTGAAGCCTATTGTTACTGAGTAATAAAAGATTGGTATAACTACTATAAAAGATTCTGACAGGGCAAAAAGATGGTCTCATCTAAAAAACTTTTTCTATGCAGTAGTTTGCTTATTTTTCTCGAAGCAAGAAAGGGAGGATCTATATAATAATTATTTACTATATGAATCTCTTTCTTACAAATATAGCTGGTATTAATTTATTTAGAGAAAACATTTTAATTCAGTTTTTGAGCAAGACAGGATCTCTTTTGAACATCACATTATCTCATCTTTTTTTATTCCAATTACTCTGCTTCTTAGAGTTTTCTAATACTATGCTTTCTGATCATAAAAATATGCATTGGTAACATCAAAGGTCTATTTAGAGATCACCAATCATAGTATTAAATAATAACAGCTTTACAATATTCCTCTCTGAAGTGCTATTTTCAAGCATAAATTCATTAAAAATATTGGCTTAAATCTCACTTTACAGAAGAAATGTCAAACCATTTGTTAATTAAGGGCCACTTAAGAAAACTAAATAAGCACAAAGTACCACAGTCTGCTGAAGGTGCATAAACATAATGGCATGAAAGGAAAGAGCTAAAAACATTTGTATATGACAGCAATTTGAAGCTGCCAGGAGAGTGCATTCCTATTAACTTAAGAAATAAGTCATCAGTAATCATGTTACATTACATAAAAAGCTATTTCAGGTTGTCTTTAAAACAAGAAAAAAGCTGACCCCCTTTATTTTAAATAAAGATCTCTACAGTTTACAATATTGTGATATTGACTAATACATTTGTCTCTTCTCCAATCTGTACTTGCCTATTTCTACATTCATAACCCTTTAATTATTCTAAATTAAAAGCAATGTATACAAAGGGAAGTTGAGATTCTCCTTTTGAAAAAAAATAATATAATACAATTTATTTAAAAATTGGGCTTTTTTTTTCCTATTCAGTATGTACTACTACTCTTCAAGCATAAGTATCTAAAATTTTCTTAGAGGGATCTTTAGTCCTATGTGTCCTGTAATGTTAATAGTATTTGACTTATAAGATGCCCATCTCAAGGCTTAGGAGGGCTGTCACGGCTAAAGCCATATTACCCTAATATGTTATTAGCTGTATAAGTTAGGATCCCATTAGAGTACATAAGAGTTTGTTCGTACACTGACTACTACAATCTTTACAACTTCAGCCCAAGGGACTGCATCCTAAACCTAAACCTAAACCTAAACCTAAACCTAAACCTAAACCTAAACTTCCTAACCCTGGAAGAGGAGGGGACTAGCCATGTTCAGTCTCCATATATCACAGAACAAAGAGGTAGTTTTAAACAGATGTGCAACTACTTTTAGTGGCTACCTTCCCTGGAAGAAATGCAGATAAAATATTTACAAAGTGACTCTCCCTGTTTCTTTCCAGAAGGGGTTTACCATGGCACTCTTCCAGTAGCTACTTGACAGCCTGGCTTCTAACTAACTTGCATCAAGGACTTCAAGGGACAGTCAAAAGCAGCCCACTGGCAGCTCATCACTTCCTGAGCCATTTGCCGCAGCTCACTTCAACAATAACTTCATGTCTACCAATTCCTCCTGGAGGAATTTGACCATGCATAAAGTGCCCCAACAGTTACAGCATTTACCCAAGGGACTGCATCCCAAAATGTCTTGCTCTGGGAGCAGAAGGGTCTAGGCATATGTGAGTCTTCCTAGACTACAGAACAAAAAGGTGATTTTAAATAAGTGTGCAAACACCTCCAGGGTCTAGACTCCCTGAGAGCAGTGCAGAAAGGGGGCTGGAATATGAAGCTTCCATTTTATCTCCAGAAGGGTTTTGCTGCATTACCTCCTAGTAGATTCTTGATAAATTGGACTCTAAATTGCATCAGGGGATCTAACAGGGCAGAAAAGCCGTAGCTCTTATACAGCCTGAGCAGAAACTTGGTACATACTAAGTCTTTCCTCTAGCTCACCCCAACAATAAATCCAAGTCTACTCATTCTTTCTGGGAGTAGTTTGTATATATGCTGTGTATCACAACTACATTCCTGATTCTCTCTCAACCACAGGATACAAAGAGGTAGACATACAATGGGTTCCTTTCCAGCAGCTCTCTCCCCAGGACCAGAGGGTGCAGCCTGAAACCTAGCACAGGCATTTGGCACAGAATCTCTCCCCAGCCTAGTTTAGAGAAAATGGGAGAATAACACTCAAACTTAGCTTCAACATGAAAATAGAAGGGACTGGAACAAATATTAAACATTTTAATCTTTTCATCTACATCTAGAGAGTTCTACCTTCTACTTCACTGATTGCAGGGTACTGACAGGACGTGGAACATCCTAATCTCCAAGGGACTACCAAAAACAGAGACAGCAGTCTGAACAAACACAGATTTGAGAGGCACATTCCTGAAAAGCAGCCAATTTGAAGAGCAAAAAGAAAAAAATATAATAACATAAGGGACTTACGTAAAAATAGTAAACAAATCAAATGATATACAAAAGCAGGGAAAGGGGCTTCAAGGCGGCTGACTAGAAGCATTTAATGCCAACCTCCTCCACTTGGACCAAAATAGTGTATAGACGGTCACATTTCAAATACATTATCCAAGAGAGAACAACAGAAAAGTGACAGGAAACACCAAAAGTAGGGAAAGATACCTGGGTGGGATGGGCTGGGAGCTAGGAGTGACTTTCCAATATGGTGAAAAGATAAGTGAAAGACTTCAAGTGGCTGACATCCCCACTGTGGAATTGTGCAGCTCTGGCCACAAGAAAACCCTGTGGCTCTCCTAAATTCTGAAATTAACTTTGGGAGATGCTAAGACACCATGGGATGAAATTGCTCCAGAGAAAGAGCTTGCACTTAGTCCCACAACATTTCTGAGAACAAAGCAGTTACTGCAAGGCACCAGTTTTAAACTTAGCTTCTGGCAGAATACACACTGTCTTGGGGCCCAGTGGCATCAGGTCTGAGGTCTCAGGGAAACTTATGCTGTCAGCTGGGAGTGCCCCCACAGCTGGGGCAAAAAAGCAAGAAGGGCTGGGCTTCAATAGCTGGTACCAGGATATA
This sequence comes from Homo sapiens, assembly GCF_000001405.40. Taxonomy (NCBI): domain Eukaryota; kingdom Metazoa; phylum Chordata; class Mammalia; order Primates; family Hominidae; genus Homo; species Homo sapiens. Next base: position 193,073,295 of record NC_000002.12, on the reverse strand, counting down.
AGTGCCACTGGGATGGAGACTGGGATGCAAGTAGAGTGCAAGTTGCCACTGAGACTTGGCCTCTAGCTGATGGAGCTCCTATAGCCAGGGTGTGGTTACAAGTTAAGTGTTGGCCACCACTAAAGGGCTAGAGGGAAGCCCTGACAGGACTGGGGCATGGGAGGAATGAACAGTTCCCACCCACTGGCCCAGGCTTTGGCTACTGAAGATAGCCGCCAACTCTTTTGTGGCAGAGCTCCAGAACAGCTTCTACTGCTCCTCACCTGAGCATTCTGCCTGCAGCCTGAGGATTGTCCCCCCCGACCCCACCCACCATGGTAGATACCTGCTCTCACCACTGGGATGACTGAGCACAAGCTGCCCAGCCCAGCTTCATCCCCTCATTGTCCAAACCAATCCACCACCTTCAGTGCCTCAGCACTCCTCCTGGGGGCTCCAGCACCTGAGCACTCCTCTTGAGGGTAGGCATAAACTCCTAGCCACTACCACCTCAGCTGGCATCAATCGCCAAGCACCACCTGTGGGCCTGGAGGCTGACCTGACTAGCCCATTGCAACCACTGTCGACAACACAAAATGCTTGGGCCCCTAAGAATTGTTCTGCCACTGCTATTGCAATTGCACATGCCACACCAGCTACCCAGGGATGCAAGAATCTGCTTATCCACCTAGTGCTCTGTTGCCACTACCAGCACCCAAGTAACTCCCCTGCAAGACCAAAGATCGGCCCACTGGTAACTCCCAACAGAGGTACCAGTGTACACTGCCTTGAGGCACAAAGGTAGGCACAATTAGCCCTTTGCTGCCACTACTGGGGCCTGAAAACTGAGCCACCTGGCTTCCCAGTCCCCAGCACAACCTTACCACAACCTCCACTAATAACTGCCCTGTAACCTACCAAGGAAATCACTTATACCACTTACACTGTTTACAGCCAAAGAAATAATACAGAGACCATAGTACTGCATACGCAGAGAATCAAAGCCAAAGTACCCTACCCAAAAACTTCCATGGATACATCTTCATGGATACATTTCCTTCAGGAAGAAAAAGTCCTCCCTGATTAAAATAAATTGAAAAATAAGAAGAAGCAACTCTTACACCATATGCACAGATGTCAACATAAAGACACAGAGAGCATTAACAAGCAAGAAAATAGTGTACTTCCAAAGGAACACAATAATCTTTCAACAACAGATGTGTATTAAGTCATTCTTGCATCACTATAAGGAAATACCTGAGATGCGGTAATTTACAAAGAAAAAAGATGTAATTGATTTGTAGTTCTGCAGGCTTTACAGGAAGCATGGTGCTGGCATCTGGTTGGCTTCTAGGGAGGCATCAGGAAGTGTACAATCACAGAAGAAGGGAAAGGCGGAAGGGGGCATCACATAGAAAAAGCAGGAGTAAGAGAGGGAGAATAGGAAAGGGGAGGTGCTACATGCTTTAAAATGACCAGATATTGTGAGAATCCACTATCACAAAGAAAGCACCAAACCATGAGGGATCCACCCCCAAGATCCAAACATCTTTCACCAAGCCCCACCTCTAGTGTTGGGAATTACAATTCAACATAAGATTTGGGTAGGATAAATATTCAAACCATGTCATTCTACTCTTGACCCCTCCCTAATCTTATGTCCTTTTCACATTGCAAAATACAATCTTGCCTTCCCAACATTCCCCTATAAGTCTTAACTCAATTCAGCATTAACTCAAAAGTCCAAGGTTTTACCTGAGAGAGACAAGGAAATTTATTTATGCCTATGAGTCTGTAAAATCACAAATAAACTGGTTACTTCTAAGATGTAATGGGGGTACAGACACTGGGTGAATATTTCTATTTCAAGAGGGAGAAATTGGCCAAAAGAAAGGGACTATGGGCCCCATGCAGTTGTGAAACCAGTAGGGTAGTTATTAAATTGTAAAACTCCAAAATAATATCCTTTTACACCATGTCCCACATCCCAGGCACACTGGTGCAAACTCCTGTGGCTTTTCAGGGTTTAGCCCCTGAGGCTTCTCTGAGGGGCTGGAGTTGAATGCTTTTGACTTTTCCAGATGCAGTGTGCAAGCTGCTAGGATATAGCATTCTTGAGTCTGGAAGACACTGGCCCCCTTCTCACAGCTCCACTAGGCAGTGCCCCAGTGGGGGGGACTCTGCGTGAGGCCCCCAGCCCTACATTTCCACTCCACACTGCCCTAGTAGAAGTTCTCTGAGAGGGCTCCACCCCTGCAGCAGGGATCTGCCTGGACACCTGGCTTTTCCATACATCCTCTGAAATCTAGGGAAACGTTCCTCAGACTCCTTCACTTTTGCATTCTGTGTGTCTGCAGGCTTAACACCATGTGGAAGCCACCAAGGCTTATAGCTCGAAACTTCTGAAGCAGTAGCCCAAGCTTTATCTGGAACCCTCTGAACAGAGGCTGGAACTGCAGTGGCTAGGATGCAAGGAGTAGTATCCTGAGGCTGTGCAGGGCAGTGGGGCCCTGGGCTTGGCCCCCAAAGCCATTCTTTCCTTCTAGACCTCTTGGACTGTAATGGCAAGGGTTGCTGTGAAGGTCTCCAAAATGCATTTCAGGCCCTTTTCCCACTGTCTTGAATATTACCAGTTGACTCCCTTTTAGTTACACAAATATGTCTAGCAAGTGGTTTCTTCACAGCCTTCTTGAATTCCTCTACTGAGAAAGCTTTTTCTTTCTCTACCCATGACCAGGCTGCAAATTTTTCTAATTTTTATACTCTGCTTCCCTTTTAAATATAAGTTCCAATTTTAAGTCATTCTTTTGCTCTTGCATTTCAGCATAAGATGTTAAAAGCAACCAGGTTACTTCTTGAATGCTTTGCTGCTTAGAGAATAAATAGCCAAACTATGTCTAGATCCTAATTGAAAAGAAATTTTTGAAATGTCATAATAATACAAAATACTGATTTTAAAGAAGTTCAGTGAAATATAAGAGAATTATGAAAAATGATATAAAAAATCAGAAAAACAGTACAGGATATGAATGAGAAATTTAACAAGGAGAAAAACAAAGATACAAAGAATACATATCAAAAAACCAGAACACAGTTAGCAATGCAACATGAAAAAAACCTTCATATGTCAATAATAACCTTGAAAGTAAACAGACTAAATTTTCCACTTAAAAAATATAGGTTGGCTGAATGAATAAAAAAAAATAAAAACCATGATCCAAAGCTATGCTGTTTACCAGAAATTCATCTTCCTAGTAAAGATGCATACAGACTGAAAGTTAAGGAATGAAAAAAGACATTCCACACACATGTAAACCAAAATTGAGCAGGAGTAGCTATACTTACATTAGATAAAATGTACTTTAAGTCAAGAACAGTAAAAAAAGACAAAGCAGGTTTTTATATAATAATAAAAAGATTAATCAGCCAGAGTGTGTAACAAATCTAAATATTCACAGAGCAAATTATTCATAAAGCAGAAATAAATAATAAATCACATCCATAAAGCAAATCTTAATAGATGTAAAGAGAGCAATGGACTGCAATACAATAATAGTGGGAGACTTTAATTTCCCACTCTCGGAATTAGACAAATCATCTAGGCAGAAAATTTACCAAGAAACATTGGATTTAAACTAAATTTTAAGCCAAATGAAACTAACAGCCATTTACAGAGCAATGTATCCAACAACTGCAAAATGTATATTATTTTTTTCTGCCCATGGAACATTCTCCAGTATAGACCATATGTTAGTCCACAAAACAAGTCTCAATAAATATTTAAAAATGGAAATTATATTAAGTATCCTCTTAGATCACAAAGGAAAAAAAAAGATATAAGTCAATACCAATACCAAGAAGAAATTTATAAACTATAACAACACATCAAAGTTAAACAACATACACCTGATTGACTATTGAGTCAATGATGAAATGAAGATAAAACTAAAAAAAAAAAAGAAAATAACAATCGAAATACAACATACTAAAACCTGTGGAATACAGCAAAAACAGTGCTAAGAGGAGAGTTTGTAGCAATAAATGTCTCCACTAAAAAGTAGAAAAAATACAAATTAACAACCTAACAGTGCACCTCAAGAAACTAGAAGGGCAAGAAAAAAAATCAAACCCCAAATAAGCAGAAGAAAAAAAATAATAAAAATTAGAGCATAACTAAATTAAATCCAGACTAATAAAGTAATGAAAAGAACTAACAAACAAACTCTAGGTTCTTTTAAAAGATAAACATAATTGATAAACTATTGGCTAGAGGAACCAAGAAAGAGAGAACAGCAAAATAAATAAAAATCAGAAATGAAAAAGAAGATATTACAACTACTACCAAAGAAATATGAATGATCATCAGAGAGTATTATGAACAACTGTACATTGACAAATTGAAAAACCTAGAGAAAATAGATAAATTACCAGAAACAATACAACCCACCAAGATTGATTCAGGAAAGAAATAGAAATCCTGAACAGACCAACAATGAGTAGTAAGACAGAATTAGTAATAAAAAGTAACCCAACAAAGAAAAGCCCAAGACTGGATATATTTACTGCTAATTTGTACTAAAATTATAAAGAATTAATACCAATCCTCCTCAAACTATTTCAAAAAAATTTAAGAAGAGGAAATTCTATCTCATTTGAGAGACCAGCATTATCCTCATATCAAAACAAGACAAGAGCAGAGCAAAAAAAGAAAACCACAGGCCCATATTCCTGATGAACACAGATATAAAAATTCTCAACAAATACTAGCAAATCAGATGTAACAGCACATCAAAAGATAATGCACCATGATCAAGTAGGATTTGTACCCAGGACGTAAAGTGGGTTCAATATATATAAATCATCACATCAATGGAATGAAAGACAAAAACCATATGATCATCACAACAAACGAGGGAAGAGTATTTGATAAATTTAACATCCCTTCATAATAATAGCTCTCAACAGACTGGAAGTAGAAATAACATACCTCAAAACAATAAAGGCCATATCCAACAAACCCACAGTGAACATCATACTGATTGGGGAAAACTTAAAAGCCTTTTCTCTAAGACCTGGAACAACACAGGGATGCTCACTTTCAGCGCTCCCATTCAACAGTACTGGAAGTCCTAGCCAAGCAAATCAAGAAAGAGAAAGAAATAAAAGGCATCCAAATTGAAAAAGATGATGAAGTTAAATTATCCTTCTTTGCTGATAATAGGATCTTATATCTAAAAATACCTAGAGACTCTGCCAATAAATACTTAGATTTGGTAAATGAATTCAGTAAAGTTTCAAGATATAAAATCAGTGTACAAAAATCAGTAGCATTTCTTTATATCTATAATGATCTAGTGGGAAAAAAATCAAGAAGGTGATCTCATTTACAATAGCAACAGCAACAACACCAACAACCCAAAACTATGAATAAACTTAATCAAGGAGGTGAAAAATTTCTACAAGAGAAACAACAAAATACTGATGAAATGAATTGAAGACACAAAAACACGATATATTTAATATATAATAAATGATATAATAAAACATTTCATGCTATGGATCGGGGGAATTAATATCCTTAAAATGGTCATACTGCCCAAAGCAATCTACCAATTAAATGCAATCCAGATTAAAATACCAATATTACTCATCATAAAATTAGAGAAAAAAATTCTAAAATTCATATGGAACCAAAAATTGCTTCAATAGCCAAATCAATTTTGAAAGAAAAAATAACAAAGCTGTTCATATCCTTTGCCCACTTTTTGATGGGGTTGTTTGTTTTTTTCTTGTAAATTTGTTTGAGTTCATTGTAGATTCTGGATATTAGCCCTTTGTCAGATGAGTAGGTTGCAAAAATTTTCTCCCATTTTGTAGGTTGCCTGTTCACTCTGATGGTAGTTTCTTTTGCTGTGCAGAAGCTCTTTAGTTTAATGAGATCCCATTTGTCAATTTTGGCTTTTGTTGCCATTGCTTTTGGTGTTTTAGACATGAAGTCCTTGCCCATGCCTATGTCCTGAATAGTAATGCCTAGGTTTTCTTCTAGTGTTTTTATGGTTTTAGGTCTAACATTTAAGTCTTTAATCCATCTTGAATTAATTTTTGTATAAGGTGTAAGGAAGGGATCCAGTTTCAGCTTTCTACATATGGCTAGCCAGTTTTCCCAGCACCATTTAATAAATAGGGAATCCTTTCCCCATTGCTTGTTTTTCTCAGGTTTGCCAAAGATCAGATAGTTGTAGATATGCGGCATTATTTCTGAGGGCTCTATTCTGTTGCATTGATCTATATCTCTGTTTTGGTACCAGTACCATGCTGTTTTGGTTACTGTAGCCTTGTAGTATAGTTTGAAGTCAGGTAGTGTGATGCCTCCAGCTTTGTTCTTTTGGCTTAGGACTGACTTGGCAATGTGGGCTCTTTTTTGGTTCCATATGAACTTTAAAGTAGTTTTTTCCAATTCTGTGAAGAAAGTAATTGGTAGTTTGATGGGGATGGCATTGAATCTATAAATTACCTTGGGTAGTATGGCCATTTTCACGATATTGATTCTTCCTACCCATGAGCATGGAATGTTCTTCCACTTCTTTGTATCCTCTTTTATTTCATTGAGCAGTGGTTTGTAGTTCTCCTTAAAGAGGTCCTTCACCTCCCTTGTAAATTGGATTCCTAGGTATTTTATTCTCTTTGAAGCAACTGTGAATGGGAGTTCACTCATGATTTGGCTCTCTGTTTGTCTGTTGTTGGTGTATAAGAATGCTTGTGATTTTTGTACATTGATTTTGTATCCTGAGACTTTGCTGAAGTTGCTTATCAGCTTAAGGAGATTTTGGGCTGAGACAATGGGGTTTTCTAGATATACAATCATGTCATCTGCAAACAGGGACAATTTGACTTCCTCTTTTCCTAATTGAATACCCTTTACTTCCTTCTCCTGCCTAATTGCCCTGGCCAGAACTTCCAACATTATGTTGAATAGGAGTGGTGAGAGAGGGCATCCCTGTCTTGTGCCAGTTTTCAAAGGAAATGCTTCCAGTTTTTGCCCATTCAGTATGATGTTGGCTGTGGGTTTGTCATAGATAGCTCTTATTATTTTGAGATACGTCCCATCAATATCTAATTTATTGAGAGTTTTTAGCATGAAGGGTTGTTGAATTTTGTCAAAGGCCTTTTCTGCATCTGTTGAGATAATCATGTGGTTTTTGTCTTTGGTTCTGTTTATATGCACATTTATGCAGCCAAAAGACACATGAAAAAATGCTCATCATCACTGGCCATCAGAGAAATGCAAATCAAAACCACAATGAGATACCATCTCACACCAGTTAGAATGGCGATCATTAAAAAGTCAGGAAACAACAGGTGCTGGAGGGGATGTGGAGAAATAGGAACACTTTTACACTGTTGGTGGGACTGTAAACTAGTTCAACCATTGTGGAAGTCATTGTGGCAATTCCTCAGGGATCTAGAACTGGAAATACCATTTGACCCAGACATCCCATTACTGGGTATATACCCAAAGGACTATAAATCATGCTGCTATAAAGATACATGCACACGTATGTTTATTGCAGCACTATTCACAATAGCAAAGACTTGGAACCAACCCAAATGTCCAACAATGATAGACTGGATTAAGAAAATGTGGCACATATACACCATGGAATACTATGCAGCCATAAAAAGGGATGAGTTTGTGTCCTTTGTAGGGACATGGATGAAATTGGAAATCATCATTCTCAGTAAACTATCGCAAGGACAAAAAACCAAACACTGCATGTTCTCACTCATAGGTGGGAATTGAACAATGAGAACACATGGACACAGGAAGGGGAACATCACACTCTGGGGACTGTTGTGGGGTGGGGGGAGGGGGGAGGGATAGCATTAGGAAATACACCTAATGCTAAATGATGAGTTAATGGGTGCAGCACACCAGCATGGCACGTGTATAAATATGTAACTAACCTGCACATTGTGCACATGTACCCTAAAACTTAAAGTATAATAATAATAATAAAAAAGTAAAAAAAAAAACAAAGCTGGAAGCATTACATTAGCTGACTTGAAAGAATATCACAAGGCTACAGCAACAAAAACAGCATAGTATTGGCATAAAAACAGGCAATTTGACCAATGAAATGGGACAGTTATCACAGAAATAAAGTCATCTATTTACAGCCAACTGATCCTTCATAAAGTGAACAAGAACTTACATTGGGGAGAGTACATCCTGTTCAATAAATGGTGCTGGAAAAAATGGATAGCTATATGCAAAATAATAAGATTTGACTTCTATCTCTCAACATAAGAAAAATATCAACTAAAACTGGATTAACAACTGAAACATCAGATCTAAAATTCTAAATATCCTAGAAAAAAAATCTAGGGAAAACTCTACTGGACATTGGGCTAGATAAAGGATTTATGACTAAGATCTCAAAAGCACAGGCAACCAAAATGAAAATAGACAAATGGGACTATATTAAGCTAAAAAGCTTCTGCACAGCAAATGAAACAATCAGCAGAGTGAAGAGACAACTTGTTGAATTGGGGAAAGTATTAACAAAATGTTTATGTGACAGAGGATTCCTGTGTAGAATATGTAAGAAATTCAACAAGTCAATGGTCAAAAGAACCAAATAACTGTATTAAAAAGTGAGCAAAGACATGAACATACATTTTTCAAAAGAGGATGTACAAGTATTGGACAAACTATGAAAAAATGCACATCATCAATAAAATGCAAATCAAAAGCACAATGAGATATCACCTCACATTCGTCAGAATGGCTCTTATTAAAAAGACAAAAAATAACAGATGTTGGTGAGAATGCCAGGAAAAATGAATTCTTATACATTCTTAGTGGGAATGTAAACTATTATAGGCACTATAACAAACAATATGGGGATTTTTCCAAAAAACAAAAATGGAGTTTCCCTTCAAACCAACAATACTACTACTGTGTATCTACCCACAGGAAAATGAATCAATATATCAAAGGGAGATCTACACTTGCATGTTTATCGCAACAATATTCACAATAGCAAAAATATGGAATTGACCTAGGTGTTCATCAACAGATGAATGGATGAGGGAATATGGTATACATAATGGAATACTATCATCATAGAAAATAATGAAATTTCATCTTTTGCAGTAACATGGATGAAACTGGAGGTCAATATCTAAGTGAATAAATCAGCTACAAAGAGACAAATGTCACATGTTCTCAATTATATGTGGAAGCTAGAAAAGTTGATCACTTGGAGGTAGAGAGTGGAAAGATAGATGACAGAAAATGGAAAGGATGAGTGCATGGGGGATGAAGAGACCTTCCTTAATGGGTACAAATATACAGAAAGGTAAAAAAATAAAATCCAATATTCGGTAGGAGGGTAAGGAGACTATATTTAACAGATATGTATGTAGTTGGATGATGGACACCCTACACACCCTGATCTGATCACTACACATTATGTACACATAAAACAAATTATTGTTTAGTTTAAAAAATTGCAAACACACAAACTATCACAATAAAAGCATAACCTTGCAAAAAGCTCATCTTTACACAAAAAAAATACTTCTGCAAGAACATCTGCCTAGCAACTGCCTATCCTAAGTTGGACTGACATCACCCTTATTATTGATCTTTGTAGCCGAAGATAATTTTCTCAAAACAATTGCAATCATCTTCATTTCTCTTTAAAAACCCTTGTCTTCCTTTACCTTCCTTAATACATCTTTTACTATGGCACACATATTGCTATCACAATGTCCTATTCCTAAATAAATATCATTTTATTTTAGAAAGCAAAAACAAGGTGGTCATAGTGGCTCCTGCCTATAATCCCAGCACTTTGGGAGGCTGGGTTGGGAGCATTGCTTGAGGTCAGGAGTTTGCAACCACCCTGGGCAACTTAGAGAGACACCATCTATCAAAAAAATTTAGCTAGGCATGGTGGTGCATACCCATAGTCCTAGGTACTCAGGAGACTGAGGCAGGAGGATCACTTGAGACCCAGAGTTAGAGACTGCAGTAAAATATGAATGTGCCACTGCACTCTTTGGGAAATAATGTTTTATATTTATATATTACCTAATCTTAGATACTCTGTGATAGCAGCAGAAAATGAACTGAGACACTACACTTTTATTCCCCCTCCTTACATGTTTAATTTTTGATACCACACCTTAATATCTTTTTATAATTTAATTGCTTAACAAATGTTATAGTTTTAGCTGTTTGTAATAGTTTTGTCTATTAACTTTAATACTAAAGATAAAATTGGTACCATTAGAGTGTTTTAAATCTTATAACGTACTTACTTTTTCCAGTGAGTTTTACACTTTCATGTTTCCCTGTTACTAATTAATGTCTTTATTTCAGCTTGAAGTATTCCCATTATTATTTCTTTCAAGATAGTTCTAGTGATGATAAACTCATACAGTTTTTATTTTCCTGATACATTTTTTATAGCACCTTATTTTATAAATATAAGATTGCTGTGTATAGTATTTTCAATCAGCTTGTTTATCAGGGTTTTGAATATATTATCTCACTTCCTTCTGACCTTCAAGATTCCTGCTGAGAAATATGCTAATAGTTTTGCAGATTCCCTTGTATGTGACTATTTGCTTTTCCCTTGCTGCACCCTCAACTTCCCTTATTGCACTTTCAATACTCATTCTTTGTCTAGCTCTTGACAATTTGATTATGTGTCTTGATCTGTGTCTCTGCAAATTCATCTTATTTGGTGTCTTTCAGGCTTCCTGTATCTGGATTTCTATTTTCTTCCCCAAACTTGGGAATATATCTGCCATTATTCATTTGAATATGCTCTATGATTCTTTCTCTCTTCTCCTGCTGACAAGCCAATAATGCAAAATTTGTAATTTTTTTTTTTCTTTTAGACATATGGCCTCACTTTGTCACCCAGGCTGGAGTGTAGTGGTGCAATCACAGCTCACTGCAGCCTTGACCTCCTGGGCTCAAGCAATTCTCCCACCTCAGAATCCTGAGTAGCTGGGGCTACAGATGTGTACCACTGTACTTTGGCTAATCAAAGAAAAATATATAGAGACAGGGTCTCATTATGTGGCTCAGGCTAACATAAGTTTGCTGTGGTGGGGGGCATTTAAACAACAGCATTCAGCCCTGGCTTTCCAAAAGTCATGTATTTCTTACATACAAAATATATTAATTTCATCTTAATAGATTAAACATTGTTAACTTGCTCAGCATCAACTCAAAAGTCCAAAGTACAGAGTTATATATTGTGAGTATCATGGCATAATTCATTCTTAGTCATAGTCCCTCAAGATGTGAGCCTGTGAAATAAAAATAAGTTATCTACTTTCAAAATACAATGGTGGGATAGGCTTAAGACATACATTTTCAATTCAAAATGGGCATATGGGCAAGAAAGGAGTAAGTGGTCCCGAGCAAGTCCAAAACCCAACACGGTGAATAACGTTAAGTCTTAAAGTTGGAGAGTAATCTCCTTTGACTCCATGTCCTGTATCCTGGGCACATTGGAGAGTGGGTTGGTTACCCAAGTCCTTAGGAATTTCTGCCATTCTGGCTTTATTGGGCTCAGTCTACCCAGCACCTCTCAGGTTAGAGTTTCATGCCTCCAGCTCTCACCAGTTGGAAATGCGTACTGGGCTCTGCCGTTCTGAGATCGTGGAGGCAGCCTCACTCCTATGGTTCTACCAGCCGTTGTCCTAAAACAGAATCTCTGTGGTAACTCCAACACTGCCATAGGCTTCTGCCTCAGCCACCAGGCTATCTGAGATATCCTTAGAAATCCAGGTGAAGGTAGATATGCCCCCACAATTTTTGCATTCTGTGAGTATGCAGACTCAACACCTTGTGGATGCCACAAAAGCCTCTTGCTTGTGCCCTTTAGAGTAGTGGCTTAAGTTGCACCTGGGTCCACTTGAGCCATGGCTAAGGTAGCCAGGAGTGCTATGCTGGAATGTGGGGAATAGAATTGTGAGGCAGCAATGGACAGCAAGTCCACAAAGGGTACCAGGTCCATCACCATCCCCTGAAACAATGCTGCCTTTCTAGAGCTCTAGTCGTGTTATGGGAGGGGAAGGCTTGAAGTTTTCTGAAATGCCTTTGAGGTTTTTCTCCCATTGACTTGATGAATAGCACTTGGATTTCTTCAATGCATGTTTATCTTTTTAGCAAACAGTCACTGGTCCACACACTTAGTTTGCTCTCTTAAGTAAGCCTTTTCACTCGATGCAGCCAGCGTGTGACCTTTTCAAATCTTTCCATTCTGCTTCTTTTTTAATTATAAATTTCCTTTTGTCTTTTTTTTTCTCTTTCACATCTCAGCATATATAATAAAGTGTCACCACCTAGCAGCCTGAATGCTTTGCTGCTTAGATATATTTTTTCCCACCAGATAGCCTAGTTCATTGCTCTTAAGTTATGCATTCCATAAAGCCCTTGAGGAGGAACACAATTCAGCCAAGGTCTTTATTACTTTATAACAGGGATGGCATTTCCTCAAGTTTCCAATACCTCGGGCGCGGTGGCGGGCGCCTGTAGTCCCAGCTACTCGGGAGGCTGAGGCAGGAGAATGGCGTGAACCCGGGAAGCGGAGCTTGCAGTGAGCCGAGATTGCGCCACTGCAGTCCGAAGTCCGGCCTGGGCGACAGAGAGAGACCCCGTCTCAAAAAAAAAAAAAAAAAAAAAAAAAAAAAGACCTCATCAGAATGTCCTTTACTGTTCATATTTCTATCAATATTCTGATTACAACCACTTAAGTGATCTTTAAGATGTTCTATATTTTCCATACAGCTTTTCCCTTTTTCTGAGCCCCCACAAAAATAAAATTTAACACTCAATTCAGAGAATAAAGGCTTTTTCTAGTCCACTCCCCCAAATTCTTCTACTCTCCACAGATTGCCTAGTTTCAAAGCCACTTTCTCATTTTTAAATACTTGTTATAGCAACAACTCCACTTCTTGATACAAATGTTCTCTCTTACTCTATTTTGTGCTGCTGTAACAGACTGCTTGAGAATGGATAATTGATAAAGAAAAGAAACTTATTTTTCACAGTTTTGAAGCTAAGAAATTCAAAATTATGACACCAACATCTCGTGAGGGTCATCCTATTATGGAAAGTGAAAGACCAGAAGAAAGCACACAAGATGGAGAGAGAGAAAATTGAGCTAAACTCAACATGTTTATCCAAAGGCAACTTTTGGGATAACTAACCCACTCTTTTGATGATGAAATTAATCTATTCATGAAGGCAGAGCCCTCATGATCTAGTCATTGCTAAAAAGTTCCCACCTTTCAACACTGTTGCATTGTGGTTTAAGTTTCAACACAATTTTTAGAGGGTGTGTTAAAACCATAGTATGTAAAGTTTGTGTATGTATCAAAATTGAGTTGTCATTAACTTAAAATAGCCTTTTATAAGTATAAGATATTATATGTAAGCCTCAGAATAATCACAAAGCAAAAGCTTATAATTCATACACAAAAGACAAAAATAAAATATTGAAAGCATTTTACCAGAGAATGTCTTCAAACCACAAAGGAGCAAAGCAAGTGAGTAAGAAAAAACAGATAAGTAAAACAACCTGCAAAGAATTAACAAAAGGATACTAGTAAGTCCTAACTTATCAACAATTACTTTGAATGCAAATAAATTTAATTATTCAATCAAAAGGCATAGACAGGCTGAATGAATTAAAGGAAAAAAAGATCCAACAATATGCTGCCTACAAGAGACTTACCTCACATGAAAGGACCTTTATACTGAAAAGTAAAGGGATAAAAATATATTCCATGCTAATGGAAACCAAAGAAAGTAGGAGTAGCTCACACAAAATAGACTTTAGGGCAAAAACTGTAAAAAGAGATAAATGAGGTCATCATATTGTGATAAAGGGGTCAATTTATTGAAAGAATATAACAACTGGAAATATGTATAGCCCCAACATTAAAGCACCTAAATATCTAAAGAAAACATTAATAGATCTGAAGAAAGACATAGACTACAACACAGAAATAGTAGAATTCATTCAACAGGAGACAGATCATTCAAATAAAATGAATAAGAATACACTGGATTTGAACTACACTGTAGACCAAATAGATTTGACAGGCATATACAGAACATACAATCCAACAGCAGCAGGATGTGCATTATTCTCAACTGCACACAGAACTATCTCCAGGATAACTCATATATTAGGTCACAAATAAAAGTGTTACAAAATTAAAGAAAATTGAAATTATATCATGTGTCTCTCTGCCCATGATTATATGAAACTAGAAATCAGTAACAAGAGAAATAAAGAAATAGTAATAAATATATGGAAAATAAACCATATGCTTCAGAACTATTATTGTGTTAAAATAAGAAATTAAAGGAAATTATTTTTAAATCTTAAAACAAATAAAAATGGAAACATAACATACCCAAACTTATGGGATACAGCCAAAGTAGTTTTAAGAGGGAAGAAAGAGATCTTGTATTAATGGATTAGAAGAATTAATAGCTTGTTAAAAAGTTCATACTCTAAAGTGATCTTACAATTCAATGAAATCCCATCAAAATCAGCAAAATAAGGAACACTTATATGCTGTTGGTGGGAATGTAAATTAGTTCAGCCACTGTAGAAAGCAGTTTGGAAATTTCTCAAGTAACTTAAAACAGAACTATCATTTGACCCAGTAATCCTATTACAGGGTATCTACCCAAAGAAAAATAAATAATACTGCCGAAAAAGACACATGTACCCATATGTTTACCATAGCAGTATTCCCACTGGCAAAGACATGGAATAAACCTAGGGGCCCATAAATGGTGGATTGGATTTAAAAAATAAAGTGGTACATATATACCATACTATACAGCCAAGAAAAAAAAAATCATGTCTTTTGCAGCAACATGGATGCAATTAGAGGTCATTATCCTAAGCAACTTAATGCAGGAGAAGAAAATCAAACACAGGATGCTCTTACATATAAGTGGGAACTAAACATTGGGTACACATGGACATAAAGATAGGAACAATAGATGCTGGGGACTGCCTTGAGGGGAAAAGAGGGTAAAGCACTGAAAAAATACCTATTGGGTACTATTCTCACTACCTGGGTGACAGGATCATGCACATTTCAAACCTCAGCATAATGCACTATACCCATGTGACAAACCTGCACATGTACCCTCTCCCCACCACAATCTAAAATAAAAGTTAAAATTATAAAAAAATTAAAAATTCTAAAAAGTTTTTTTTTTTTTTTGAGATGAAGTCTTCCTCTGTCGCCAAGGCTGGAGTGCAGTGGCCTGATCTCTGCTCACTGCAACCTCTGCCTCCCGGGTTCAAGCGATTTTCCTGTCTCAGCCTACTGAGTAGCTGGGATTACAGGTGCCCACCGCCACGCCTGGCTAATTTTTGTTTGTTTAGTAGAGACGGGGTTTCACCATGTTGGCCAGGCTGATCTTGAACTCCTGACCTCAGGTGATCCACCCGCCTTGCCTTCCCAAAATGCTGGGATTACAGACATGAGCCACTGTGCCCGGCACAAAGATTTTTAAAAAAACCAGAGGAACCCTAGTTGATACGCATATTACAACATATCTGAGTAGCTCTTCATGAAAAACAATGAAAATCCGAGAAAAATATCAGGTCATTTAAGAAACATTATAACTAAATGAAATACAGTATCTTGGATAGGATGTTGAAAGAGAAAAAGGACATTAGGTAAAACAAATGAAATACAAAGTCTGGAATTTAGTTACTAATAATCTGTCAATATTAGTTCATTAGTTGTGAGAAAGTACTACAAAATATGCGATGTTGATATTAGGGGATATTGGATGTGAGATATATTTGAACGCTCTATATTATCTTTGTAACTTTTTGTTGATCAAAAACTTGTTAAAGAGAAATGCATTAAATATAGTTTTTAAAACTTTAATAAATAATATCACATTTTTACATGTAATGGATGATGTCTAACTACCAGGAAAATATATTACTTTTGGGATAATTGACTTGGGTAGAAGAAATGGTAAAGCTTTACCTGTTCTCTGGCTCTGGCCACAAATTTTCAATCATCTTTCCAATTTCATAAATTAGGTAATCTTAGTTATAACTATCTCAAATAAACCAGAAATAAAAGTTTAAGAGCAAAAATAAAATGTAGTAAAAAATAAAGTAAGAATTTGAAATGTAATTATATAAGTAGGAATAAAAATTTAAAAGGAGATAATAAAAACATTTTTTAATGCTTGGCATTAACAATTTTGTAACCGGTTTTCATGTAAATATATTGATTATAATCATTGTGTAACAGTGTTGTTAATTAAGGTTTTCAAAACAGTAAAATGTCTAATATTACAGAATATAAATTACAATCAAACATTCAGAGGTATTTTTTTGATTAACTAAATCAACATTTTTCAGATTTGGTGAAATCCAATTGTCACATTCACGAATTTTATTAGTTGTTTGAATAGCATGTGATTAAGAGATCAATGTATTGTTTAATAATTTATATATTGGACATTAACGTACAAATAATGATACTTGTCTTCTCATGACAAACTTCTTATATATTAAAGAATAAATCAAGAATAAAATGTTCATTTCACCCTGGAAAAAGATCATTAGAACACACACAGACATGCACATGCACACACAGAGGAGTGGCTTAGCAAATGGGGATTCATGTCAGTCTGTTTACACAGTTATACACACACACACAGACACGCACACATAATTACCCTTCTTTTCTGTAAACTTCTTTCCACTTTTTAAAACTGAGGTGCTTTTTTTAGACTCTACTTTGTCGTCTCAAAATTTTCCTTATAGGTTTCAAATTGTTGGATACAGAATTGGGAAATTTCTATGCAACGGATCTCATAATGCTATGCTCAATGAAAATATTCATTCTATCTAGTCAAAATAAGTTAAAAAAATATATACTTCAGGTACTACCTCTTTTGCAGGCAACTAAATCCTTCCCTGGAGCAAATCATACTTTCACTTGCTTTTCCCTCTTTAAAATGTCCCTGTGGAGCTTTTCACAGTGTCAGACAGAAATACTTTTTTGCTCAATTTATCCACTATCCACCTAGAGTGAATATTATTTGCAGTGCAGGTAGAACATTTCACAGTTTGTGTTGTTCTTCTCTACCTACCATAAATACATAATTATGTGGATTCTGTTCAGCACATCGCTTTAAAATGCTTCAATTATTTCTGGAATATCCTTGGTGAAGAAAAATATTAACAGTCTAAAAAACCATGTGAAACTTAACATACTCTGAGCAGATACATCATGTTAAAAATATGTGTTACAGCACCATGTAAAAGACATCAAACTATACTGTATTCTAGCTAGCTTTCTAGAATAACAAAATAAATACTTTAGTTTAATGGTGACTTGTTTCCATTCTTTAAGTAACCTTGCAAATATTGAAGACTATTACAGGAATATTTAATCTTCTCCTGAAGACAGGCCCACTATATCAACTCAGATACTGAATTTGGCACCTAAATACACGATTATTTCACATCCGTAGGCATTTAAGCACAAAAAAGGGTTTTTGCTTAGCTAAGTGTCAACGAGGGAACTCAAATGTGCAATTTATGTACACCTTTTAGACACCAGGTTTTGAAAATCTCAGTTTGAATATATTGACAAGTTGTGATGTTTTTCCACATACATAAAATGCTATGGTTTGACCAGGTCAAAAATACCTTTGAGCGCAGTGAAATTTTATTAAAACAACTCCTACAGGACAAGCACAGGGGAAAATCATAAGTATTAAAATTAAACACTCATTCCAATAGTGAGAAATCTATTTGAAGAACAGATTTATGACTTGACACATACTAAATGGATTGTAAATTACTGCACATTGTGCCATTTTATTCTCCAATAATTTTACGTGGTATAATTCAGGTCTCTTTATAGTCCCTGATTCCAAGGTAATAAAACAACAGAGCTATTTCCTCATCCATTTATTTACTCATTTTTAAAAAAATGTATAGCACAATTCTTACAAGCTGGAGAGCATCCATGTTAGAATTCCTCGGAAGTGGATAAGGGCCATTTTTCTGTAATAATAATAAGGATAATGATAATATGAATGCCATTTTTGCAACCAGGAGTTACATGGCCCTCTTGCTGAATGGTAGTGTTTTGCTTTTTCCATCACATGTGAAGTTCCTTTAAATATTGCAAATGACACTTCAAATGAGAAATTAGTACATTTGCTGCTGTCTGTTTAAGTTAAACTTACTTTTATATTGGTTTAGCAAAGTTCTTGCTAGATCTATGTATAAACTATTTGTTTTTAAAGTCCCACTCCTAGCTTGAAAAAGAAGCAATATTTGTTTTGAAACAAAACTTTTTAACTCCTTGGATAAATTGTAATTTATTTCTTGTTTTCTACCCACACTAAGAAAGAAAAATAGATTCATTCATATTTTGTACCCTAACTATTGATCCTTCTTTCTTCAAATATATAATAGTAAGTAAAGAAGTTTCTGTTGTTGTTGTTGTTGTTAAGCTAAATAAAAAGCTCTCATACCCTTTCCTCGTTTACTTTTTTATGTCTTTGGAAAATTTGGAATCATGAGGAATATCCTGTTGACATTGCCTCACTATTTACGAAAAACAACAATGCCGATCAATACATAGTAGAGGGAGTTTTAATTTTTTTGGTGAGACTACCTGGAGAGAGAAGTTTATCTGACATTAACCTAGATCTTAATTTAGATAATCACAGATGGGAGGAAACTGAATCAAGTAGTAGGATCCATTCATTCCTTGGCAATCTATAAACGGGCACTTGTAGGAATAAATTGCCTAATTAATCAAGAACATGGATTTACTTATCAAATATTTATTAAATGCCTGCTTGGTGTCAGACACCACTCTGCCATGGGAATAAGCAGAAAAATTATTTCTCCAAATCGGTACAAATGAAATGATAAATCGTTTAGAAAAAATTAGTTATACTTTTGATTAATATTTATTTATGTAACTAATTGCATGTGCAAAAGTGTCTTAGAAGAGATCATCAAAAAAGATCATGTTTTCAGCACAATGATATGTTTTTAAAGATAACAAGAATTTAGAAATGTGGTATTTTTCAACAATTGTAAAATTTTGATAATTTTACTGAGTTCAAAACAACATTGCATGAACCATAAGTCAGAATTATGACTCTTGTGAAATGTTACACATTATCTGAAATGTTGTATGTATCTAGATTTTCAACTGAATTTAGAACAATAAATAGGACTCTGGCTAAAATTTAGCAATGGGCTTATTAATCTGTACTACTGCTATTGATCTTAGGATATCATTTTTCTTCTATTTTGTGAATCATTTTTTAAATCACCATTGTTATTTTTAAGCCTGTATAAGAAACTATAACGGGACAAATAGGATATTGAGTGTCTTGAAAAGTACACGCAATCGCTGAGAGACTTATATAAGCTAATGAGGTTCTGGGAATATAATTGCAAGTCATACTATTTGTCCCAAGGAATGTTAAATCTGTAGCACACGGCTTATGCCTCTTCCCAAGACATTTAGCCAATAATAAATGAAATAAATCAGTCTTTTTTGTATTGCAGAATTTATCTAAGCCTATAAAATGCTAACAGGTATTATAACTCTCTATTTTTCAGGCTTTTTGCATCTCTTTTTCATAGAAAGTATTACAACATTAGAGACTCTTACAGTTTTTCAGAAATGCCATGTTGGAATGATCAAAATAAAAAGCTTTTTGGAATAATTATATATTATTGTATAAACTGAGAAGCAAAATATGTGCCTAATTTTAAAATGTCAACTACTTATTTATATTTTTCTCTGAGACTCATAGAGAGCTAGGCTAGTAAGAAATTATGATGCTGTCTAGCCCCAGTTCATTTTGGTTGTAATCAACCTAAGACTAATACAGTTCATCTCAATAAGTGCATGGTTATTATCTGTATTTGTTAATTTCATTGTTGTTAATTTTTTTAAAATGAAGACATCTTTTAACAAATTAAAACCAAATGACAGAGTGAGTAATTTTCACAGTGGGTACTATATTTATAGCAAAATGTCTTAAACTTCTTTTTGTTTTCTTGCTGACGTTTTTTAACTGAACAACTTAAATTGGCAGCAGACCAGTTTTCTTAGAAGAAAATTCAAGCTGTGGCAGCCCGTGAGATATTACTGATCTGACTTAGGTTTTTTTGAACCATAAATATAACATATATATAAATGGTGTCGTGTGTTTTGAACTACTCTGCAAGTCTTAATAGCAAAATAAAACATTCTGTTGTAAAATAAATATTTATAAAGAAAATGTGAGACATAATTTTACATAATTCAGAAGTAGGTAAAAAAAATTCTGTTACATCTAAGAAAAACATTTGACATCAATACAACAGTCTTATTTTTTGAGCATTACATATTATAATTTGAGGGACTGCTATACCAAACAGGTGGCTTTGATTCTCTGGTAAGTCTCCCAATTAAGCTAAATGAAGATTGAAGGCAGAGTCTTTTAAATTGCTCCATCCAGAACATCTTTGTTTCTCTCAGTTGCTTTTCTCCCCTGACTATTGCTCACTCCTCTGTTGTGAATACGGATTTACATGCAGTGAAACTAAATGGAAATAAAATGCAACTAATTTGACTAATGTTCCCAAATAATTCAGAAGAAAGGAAAATTGACTAGCCAGACTAGGGATAGTGGCAAAAGAAGTAAGAGCTAATTACCTATGTAAATTATACATAATTAAATGTTATGACATGAATTAGAAGTATGTTATTTAAAATTCATGACAATATAGGTTCTCTCATTTTAAAGGTAACGTTACTTGTCCTGATCTTGAAGATTCTTGCTGACATTTACCTTTCTCCCTAACATATTTGGCCTGTGACAATATATTATTTCTTCTGTCACATTCATCCATAGTTTCTTTTTAAAAAAATTTCTAAAAATGTCAGTGTACTCTAATTATGATTGTTTTTCTAATATATGCTGTATTTTTCCTTCTATTTTCTAGGACGTATTGGGGGCAAATGAACAATAACTTTCTCCTTTTTTATTTTTGAATGGTTATTAGGTATAGACAAACTCACCCAATCTATATACCTTCTTATTTCCCCCAACTGCAATATTTTATTTTGGGGTTTCCTTTTCTAGTTGTTCTCTCACAAGAAATATAAAAATATTTCTTAAATTTCTAAGCATTTTTTATTTTAATTGATATTTTGGTTTGAATTTAGTTGAAGTTGTTAAATTTTTTTTAAGTAATATCAATCTTTCTAATAAGGAGCATGGTATATGTTTATTTTTAGTATATGTTCATTTATTCATATTTTACCACCTAACAAATGATAGACCTTTCATACTGACTACACTTATGGATAACTTTATGTATGTATGTTATTTGTTAACATAAATGTTTTTATTTTATTGTGCAACAGGTCCCCAATTAACAGTCTTTTTACACAGTTTATGTATACATAATAGTTACACATATTTATGGGATACATGTGATGTTTTGATACAAGCATAAAATGTGTAATGATCAAATCTGGGTAATTAGAATATCCATTACCTCCAAGATGAATAATTTATTTGTGTTGGGAATAGTTCAAATCTTTTTATCTAAGTACTTTGAAATGTGCAATAAATTATTGTCAGCTAGTCACTCTATTGTGCTATCAAACACTAGAATTTATTCCTCCTATTTAACTGTATGTTTATACCCATTAACCAACCCTGTTCATCTGCCTTTTCCCAATACCCTACCCACCCTCTAGTAACCACCCTTCTATTCATAAGCTTCCACATATTCCACATATGAGTGAGAACATGTGATGTTTGTTCTCTTGTGCCTGGCTTATTTCACTTAACAAAATGTCTTCTTGTTTCATCCATGTTTTGCAAATGACAGAATTTTATTCTTTTTTATGGCTGGATAATATCCCATTGTTTATAGATATACCACATTTTCTTTATTAATCCATTGATACACACTTAGGTTGAGTCCACAACTTGGCTATTGTGAATAGTGCTGCAATAAACATGGGGGTGTAAATATCTCTTCAATATATAGATTTCCTTTCTTTTGGATATTTAGCTAGTAGCAGAATTGCTGGATCATACAGAGTTCTGTTTTTAGTTGCTGACAAAAAAAATCATTTTGTTCAAGATTGCATACATTTGACAAAAAAAATTGATTCCTTGCTGGTGCCACTGTTTGTGTGGAGTTTGCACATTTTCCCCATGTCTATGTGTGTTTACTCAAGGTATTCCTATTTCTTTCCACATCCTAAAGATGTGCACATGAAGTAAATTTGTGTGTCTAAATGGTCCCAGCGAGAGTGAACATGGATGTGTGTGTGTGAGTGCACCCTGCAATGGAATGGCATCCTGTCTAGGGCTGGTTTTCACCTTGTGCCCTGAGCTGCTGGGAGATATGATCCTAAACTGGCATAATTTGGTAAATAATTATCTCACTTGTTTTTATTCATCTTTCTTAAATGTGTGTATAGTTCACATTTATTTCAATGTTTAATGTTAGAAGTATTTGTGGTGTTTGTAAAAAGTATGGTAACATTTTTCTGACCAGAACTATGCTGTAGATATTAAACTATTGTTTATATCAACTACCCAGTGGTAACATTGGTTCCATGATATGTTTTTTCTCTTAAAGTTACAGTTTCCAAAAACCTATCAGTGACATTAAGTGAAGACTTACTGCATTTTCTACCTGTTCATAGCTATTAAGCAAAATATTTAAACTCTTAATTTTTATCTTTATTGAATAAATATCTTTAGCATTTTGGATATTTACTATTTTATTTGCTCTTACAGGAATCTTTTGAGACTGGGGCTACAATCATCACCAGGATGAAGATGAAGAAACAAAAGCTCAGAGGTAAAATAACTTACCCAAAGTCTTATGCCTCGTAAATTGCTTGACTAAAATTCATACCTTGCTATGTTTTATTACAGAATCCATTAAAGTAAAATGGATGTTAAGCCTAAGTGCTCTTTAAAGTTTTCTAATTCCTCAAATAGTATAACAGTGTATTTCCTCCTTTAAAATAATTCTATTGCTTATTTTATTTCATGTCTCCTTGTTTTGCACCAAACTTCTAAAACAAATTTAATTAAAAATTTAGATTATATAAAATGAATGAACTCTTCAATATATAAAAATCTAAAAGTCTAGAAGAAAATGTGACACATATAACCAAAGATTCATATTTCCTTTATATATATTATTTCCTAACATTAACTATTAAAAATAAACTATATAAAAATGAGTCAATAATATGGACACAGAACTTACAAAAGATAGAATAAGTTCAAATAGACACAGGCTTCTGAATAAATAAATAGATACTAATTCATGAAATACCATTTTTCATATATAAGACTATTGTAAAATAATAATAGTAATGATAATAATAATACAGCATGTATTGAGTCCATGGAGAAAGAAGAAATCTCAAATGCTTTTGGTGATAAAATAATTTCTCATAACAATTTTGATAACATTTACATATTAAAATAAATGTGGCTACTTACCTAGTATTCTCACTTATAGGAAACTGTTCTGCAGAAATAGCATAGGCACCAAAAGATGTAAAAATGTGGATATCAATGATATAAATACAGTTGTAGTTTCATGCATAGATACAGGTAAGAATATAGATATAGATATAATTTGAGATAAAAATTTTGTCTAAGTAATTTGAGATAAAACTTTTGGCCAATCTCAAATGTGATTATTATAAAATGATTAAATAGATTATGTTTCACCCATCAATGGAGAATCAGAAAACTATTATAAGAAATAGATGAGAAACTATTCATACTCTCTAGAAATAAGGCTTAACCCATACTCCTACAAGGAAAATGCCCACATTAAATATTTAAAGTGTCTTTGACCACCTTAGAAAGAAGTATTTTTCTTTTTTTTTGTCAGCAGGATAACACAGGGGCAAGGAATTGAATGGACAGAGGTTAAAACTTTTAATTCTTGATAAAATTAAAAAGAAAATAAAATATGTGTGACTAAGAAAAGAAAATATGTGTGACTAAGGTGATTTTCAAAACTACACTTAAGAAAGCATTTTTTAATATTCTGAGTAAGAATGAAAAGAGAAGGGGAAATCCATTAGGAAAAATAACATATACTATTCCTGTCATTTTTAAAGCAAAGTCTAGAAGTTTTCTAACTCTTGAAACCATATCAAATTGAAGATACTATGATGTCCATTAATGCTATGCATATGATATATTATCAAAGGTACTTGGAAAAGTAAAATGTTTAGTATAAACAGAGATTTATAAAACTCCCTTAACTTACACTTAGTTATATTTTGGTTTATCAGCATAAAAGTAGAAACTAGATTTTAAAAATATAAAGTTACAGTTTTGTTGTATTCATTGTTTCCCAAGTTGAAAACTTTTTCACTTTCTTATTACTGAGATTATAATTTTCCATAAATTTCAAAATTCAATCACTCATTATATTTGCATCACTCAATTCTTATAATGTCTTTATGGAATATAAAAGTTATTTTAACTATTCTTCACTTACTCTTCTCTGGATGCTGGTCCAAGACTAGGATTACATGAGTGAATAAAACATGGTTGAAATAATTCCTGGTCTAATGGGGAAAAACATAATTCAGTATAAAACAATGTAGGTTTTTTTTAAAAAAATAATGAATTTATATAAAAAATACATAAAACACAGTACAATTACCATATAGAGAATAGGGCATGAAGTGGAGCCAGTTTAAATCCTGGCTTTATTAGTAACCTATTGTGTGATTCTGGAAAACTCATTTACCTTTTTATGCCCCAAGACCTTTGTCTGTAAAATGGTGATTAGGATTAAGTAGCTTTGCACATAATAATAACTGTGTGTGACTTCTAACAACAACAACAAAAACAGCCAAAAGAATAAAATATCAATTACTATGTCACTTGCCAAAAGTATGTGAATAAGTAGGGAAATGAACCCGATGTTATTAATGCAAATTCTGTCCTTGTTATATATTTTCTTATACTAGTGATGTTTCAATTTTTCAAAGTGATTTACCTTTTAAATATTTTTTAAAAACTTGTGGTTTGAAAAGTTTTAACTTTCTTGATCTCTTAACATAAGCTAAATAAAAGAAAGTTGTTATTTTTCCCATTTGTGCTCAGCCATATCCCAAACTAAATCATCATACATAGTACTATCTACTTTAGTCGTCATTGCTAACTGTATTATTTTGCTTTTGTTCTGATTCAAATGTATGAATTCTAGATATTGAAATATAATTTAGAAATCTTTTCTCAATAGGGCTTAATTATTGTTCTAATATCACCAGAATTCAGTCACCCTGAAGCCTAGGCTCTTTTATTAACTTGCCTTTTTCACATCTGCTCATAATGCATCTCAAAGTGAATATGCCCCACATCCAATTTTTAATTTCCTGCAGAAGTGTCTTTTTTTGTTGTTGCTCCCATTTAAGTCAGTAGCATCAACATTTGTGCAGTTGTTTGGTCTTGTTCCTTGGACTCAGACTTGACTTTCTCACCATACACCCATCTTACAAGCACATCCTTTAGTTTTTTAACCTCAAGATAAAACTCATGTCTAACCACTTCACATGACCTACATCACCACTGTAGTTCAGCCATTATTCTCTATCACTGGATTTACCTGTTTCACATGGTTTATCTGATTCACATGGTTCTAATTTTGACACTCTAAGTCAATTGTCCACACTGCATCCAGAGCGATCCTTTGCGAATAAAAATCAGATTATGTCATGTATCTGTTCAGACACCTCCAATAAGTTTGGCCTCAGCTCATCTGGAATAAATTCAAATACTTTTAACCGTGGTTTAATGAGTCCAACATTAATTGACCCCTGAATATGTATCTGACTTTATTTTATCTAAAGCTCTCTCTCTCTTTCTAATGTCCTCAAGCTACATTAGCTTTCTTGCTATTTGTTAAAATTGCGAAGCACAATTCTGCCTTGTCTTCCCTCTTTCCCAAATGTTCTTCTCCCCTACTAGATAGCCAGATAACTCTTTCCTTCAGTATAGGTGCAGTCTTTTTTCTCCTCCAAATTTCAAAGTTCCATTAGTGAAGCATTTTCAGATCATCTTATCTAAATTAACACTTCATGTAGCTCTCCACCACTTCCTACTAGAATAAACGCTGCAAGAAGGCCAGAACTGTTCTGCAGATACTAAATAAGTATGAATCAAATGAATGCAACTAATGCTTTATATTGTTTTACGTGTTCATATGTCAAATAAAAATAGTTGTCTATTTATATTTCATATCATAATAATCACTGTTTAAAATAGTAAAATAAAAGTGAGTTATCATCATTTAATGGGATTTCTTAGAACTAAGTGCCTCTCAATTCTTCAGAATGACTTAAGAAGATAGTATTTTTCAGTCAAAGCCAACAGAGAAATACTGATAGAAAATAA
Source organism: Homo sapiens (assembly GCF_000001405.40). Lineage (NCBI taxonomy): Eukaryota > Metazoa > Chordata > Mammalia > Primates > Hominidae > Homo > Homo sapiens. Next base: position 193,046,789 of record NC_000002.12, on the reverse strand, counting down.
AGATGGAAAAGACAGATTTACCAATTGGGGATTTCATAGTTTTATATATCAGTAATACTATATTGATGCTTATAATTTTGCTTAAGACTAAAGAGTTGGAAAATAGCAGGAAAAAAATCAATATAGTTTGTTTATGGAGCACATAGTTGATGAGTTTTCTTACCCTTTCTTTTTTTCCTAAGTAAAGCATCTTGCAGTTTCTGCTTTATTTTTATAAGACATTTAAAAATACATGAAATAGTTATTGGATTTCATAATTTAAAAAATCTATATAGAACATCACATTTCCCATATGATTTATTAATTTGATGAATTATATTAAAATATTTCCTAATTTTCGATAACTTATACATCTTGAGATAAACAGTCAATTTTAAAAAAATTAAGTTTCTTATTAACTTAATTTTCTTTCAGATATTTTGTATCAATTCAAAAGTCAGTGTGGTCTGCAGTTTTTGTGTTGTTTTCGTGAAGATTTCTTATCACTGTTATCCTGATTATGCCAAAATTATCTGGAATCATTCCTCACTTTTATATCCTCTGGAAGAGTTTAAATACCATTGGAATTACTACTTTCTCAAATATGTCATTGAATACATCTGTGAAAATAGTTGTGACTAGTGCTTTAATTAGAAAACAATTCAATAATTTTATATTTTTGACAATTTGACTTTTAAATTGTTTTCTATCCTGGTATTCATTTGACAATTTATAGTTTTCTACAACATTTAGGCAAAGATTGTAAACTAATTTCCATACAGTTGAGAAAATTAATTGCATAAAATTATTTTATTTACTCTATGGTTGTGTCTTTATTCTCACCTATAATTTTGTGTCACTTTGCTTATTTTTCTCTTTTTTTGACAATATCTGTTAAATATTTTTGTTATTTATTATTGTTTTCAAATGAACCATCTCTGGAATGTGTTTATCATTTCTACTTTCACCTCAATAATTCCTCTTTCATCACTTATTAATTCAACCTTCCATGGATTTTTGTGTGTTCGTGTCTCTTATTTAGATCTTGTTCTTTTCAGTGGCCATAATCAACAGCTGTTGAGCTACTTGCCAACCGTAGTTTCTCTAGTTTCTCTTCTACATGTCCCTTAAGGATAACATGCTTCCAGGAAATTTGATATTTCTGAAAAGCAGGCTAAAAAGTTTGGCTGAAGACTACTTTGATGCATGATTAATTTTGCCAAATGATTACCTGGTCTAATTTAAGTATCTACTAAAAAGCGAAACACCTAATTTAATCTATATGGTCTTTGGCAATTTAAGTTTGCATTGGATGTAATTTTTAAAAGACTTTTGAAGATGTCAGTGAAATTTTAGTTTTTCTTCACAGGTTTTTCTTTTTTGGTGCAGAAAAGGGGAATATTCTCATTGGGAAAAGATGGGAATCATAATGTATCAGAGTGTTGTTTGAATCTCCCAAAAATAGAGGCACGGATGGACAGAAAACGTTGACTCAGATGATCTGAGAGAGATGAATAAGAATCAGGGAACAGGGAAAACACTCTAGTGTGGACATGGGAGTTGAGAGTTACAGAGGTGGAGTTTAGAAGAAGGAAAAATCCTAGGATATTCTAGAGAGAAAAAAAATGTCAGGGCTTGAAAACTGGATACAACAGGAGAATTTGGAGGCATACAAAAGGAGTATTGGAAGTAATAAGAGAGTTTGAGGATACATGACTCTCATATGCTCTGAATTTATAGCCAAAATAATTGTCTGTAAATTGCATTAACAATAAGATCAAGAAGTTCTTATTAAATTACCTGAATTTGGCAATTGTGTCATGTATTACTAACTTTGTGGTTTAATGATATTCCCTATATGTTTCTACTATAATTTGTTTATCTATTCGTCTACTGATGGACATTCAGGTTGTTTCAGCTTTTGGCTATTAAAAATAGTACTGTGATGAACATTCATGTACAAGTATTTGTTTGAATACCTGTGTGAGTGGAATTGCTAGACTTAGAAATTGCTGAACATGAAATGGTAATTCTTTTTTTTTTTTTTTTTTTTTGAGACGGAGTCTCGCACTGTCTCCTGGGTTGGAGTGCAGTGGCACGATCTTGGCTCGCTGCAACCTCTGCCTCCCGGGTTCAAGCGATTCTCCTGCCTCAGCCTCCCAAGTAGCTGGGATTACAGGCACCCACCAGTACTCCCGGCTAATTTTTTGTATTTTTAGTAGAGAGGGGGTTTCACTATATTGGTCAGGCTCGTCCCGAACTCCTGACCTTATTATCCACCTACCTTGGCCTCCCAAAATGCTGAGATTACAGGTGTGAGTCACTGAGCACGGCCGTGGAATGGTAATTCTATGTGCAACTTTGTGAATATCTCAGTGTTTTCCACAATTGCTGAACAATATTACATTTCTACCAGCAATGTATGAGGATTATTTCTCCACCTTCTTGATGACACTTGCTGTTCCTTATGGTTGGACTTTTTGTTTATAGCCATCCTAGTATGTGTGGAATGGCATGTCAAAGTGGTTTTGATTTGTATTTTTCTAAATATAATGACATTGAGCATCTTTTCATGTGCTTGTTGGCTATCTGTGCATTCTCTTTAGAGTAATGTAATTATTTCATGTACAAGGACATTTAGTAACAAATAAACAAAGAAAGATACAGAACATGAATAAGCAAGTAAATCCAAAATAAGGAATAAGTAACAAATTAAAAAATTAATGAAAACTTTTATAAACTAACTTGCCTTTATTAAAACAGTATCACGTTTTATCTATCAGGAGAGAGGAAGTTAAAGAGAAAATAATTATCAGTCTTCGGGGTGTGTTGGGAAGTAGTTACACATGAACTATTGAGAGAAAGTTAATTTTATAGCCATTCTAGATGGCAATTTGACCACTTGTGGTTAACGCCCTTAAAGTGTATGTACCTTTTAATTCAACTTTCCATTAGTGGGAATATATACCATGTAAATAATTTCACAAATTTGAAAAACGTGTGATTTGATGACTTCAGAGCTCCTTTTAAAACAATAATCACAAAAATAATAAAAACTATAGAAGGAAACAGACTGGTGTGCCCTTCAGAGGTGATTTGGTCATGAGTACAGAGTTCTCATCAACGCATTCATTCATTGATGGGTTAAGGGGTTATCATGGGAGGGAAACTGGTGGCTTTATAAAAAAAGAAAAAGAGACCTGACAAAGCATGTTAACTCGCTCAGCCCCCTCAGCATGCAATACTCTGCACCACCTTGGGACTCACTATCAAGAAATTGCCACCATCAAGAAGTCTCTCGCAGGGAGACACAGTGGCTCACACCTGTAATCCCAGCCCTTTGGGAGGCTAAGGTGGGAGGATTGCCCAGGAGTTCAAGACCAGCCTAGGTAACATAGCAAGATCCCATCTCTGAAAAAAGAAAAAAAGTCTCTTGCCACAGACTTTAGACTTCTTAGCTTCCATAATTGTAAGGAATCAATTTCTCTTTTTAAAAATAAGTTATCAGGTTTCAGGTATTCTGTTATAAGCACCAGAAAATGGACTAATATACAGACTAAACACAGATATATATCTATTTTATGTATCTATATCACATATCACCATATATAAAATTATATATTAGATATATATTTATTGGCCATAGAAAGAAAAAAGGTATCTTGTTAAAAGAAAAACTTCCATAATCACAACCTTCATCATCTTAGAGGAGCAGTAGAGAGAAAGAAAGAGGAAAAGAAAGAAAACATTTTCTATAGATTTTATGAGTATAATCTTTAAGCAAGTTTATGTTTTCTATGTTGTCTTTAATGATTACTGCAATTTTATAGAACTAAGCTAATTTCAAAGATCATAGCTAATTTGATTGCGGTATAGGAAAGTTGTGCATCCTTCAAGAGACTTACATTACAAAGATATAAACTATTTTCCCTTTCAATATTTGCAAAGAATGATAGGTACTACAGTAATAATAATAGCTAGAAAGAAAAGAGATAATACTCTCTTTTGTGCAGACTCCTGAAGGTACTAGGACAATATGCTTCTTTTTTTAAGCATAAAATATAATAAAAATGACTGACCATAGTCTTTATAATACAGTTCTGCCAGAAGTTTTCATATTTCAAAATTGTTATTCAGAGTGTACAATTGAGAAATATAATGTTAATCATATCCCATGTGAACTATTATTTGTTAGAATGAATGTAAAAGTTCATGAAATATAAACATAGTATCTAAAATATATTTAACACTTACAAAGTGCCACACAAATTTGCATATGTTAAATTATTTAATATTCATGACAAGACAGGTGGTTGATGCAGTTATTACCTCTAGTTGACAAGATTGACAAAATATCTGAAAGCATAGATAGTTTAAATAACTCAAAGTTCACAAAGACAGAGACTCTCTGGCTCTAAAAAACTATTATCTTAATTGTGGCAATATACTACTTCTAACAGAGCTAATTTATGGCTTAAAATAGAAAATTGACTTTTAAGGCGTAAACAGAAATAAATAAAATAATTTGGAATAAGTTCAGTGAGGAATGGATGTCATTTTATACAGGAAGTAAAGGAAAACTAAAAATGAAAGGTCAATTTCTGCTTTTGCCTATTGAATGGCTTGGTTCAGCCTACTCCTCTCTGAGACAATGAGAAACATTGGATAAAATGAAAAAAAAAATCAGTTCAACCTCTCAAGGCAGCCCTAATATGAGAGGTCACACACCTGAAGAAAAGGAAGTCATTGCGATGAGCCAATAGATCCTTCTACTTTCTTTACTCCAAGATTTGCCAGTTTATAAGCATCTTGGATGAGTTGGAGATGTTGACAAAGTGATTGGTACAAGTCAGAGAATACGAAAAGTGCTGTCAACTGTGTCACATGGCTGTTAAGACAAAATGGTAATTCAATAATACTAAGGCATCTAGAATATAAGGGGCCAAAAGTTCCCGAAGATAATCATAGAGAAGTAAACCAATATTTTTGGCAATTTTCTCCTTGAGGCACATTTGCTGATTCTTATCAATTTATGCCAGTTGGCAGAGAAGTCAAGAGGAAAAGGGCTGTCAAATGACTAAGAGCTAAGCTGATCTGATCATCTCAGTAATGAAGTAGATAAAACTTGAAGTCCATAGTTAAACAAGATTGAAGGGGTTTAATAAACCAAATAAATTTCAGTTGTTACTCAAGGATTACACATTAAAATAAAAATAAAAGGATTACATATTAAAATAAAAATAAAGATAAAATAGAGTAAGTCTTTAAAAGATTGATTATTATAGGTTAAATTGTGTCCCCCCAAATCTCTTATGGTGCTATCCTAACCCCCAGTATCTCAGATCTCAGATTGTCATCTTATTTTAGAATAATGTCTTTACAGAGATAAGTTAAAATAAGTTCATTAAATCAGGCTCTAATCAAATATGACTTATCTCTATAATAAGGGGAAATTTGGAAACAGACACACATACAGAATGCGCACCATATGAACATGACAGATAGATATGTACATTCATATATATACATACACACACATACATGTCTACACACACACATATATATATATGTGCAGGTATCTATCTGAACATGATACAATGCTCTTTTTTTTTTTTTGCAATACCCAGTTTGTGGGACTTTTTGTAATAGCTCTAGCAAACTAAACACAGCTGAAACCTGATTGGAAAAGCTCTCATAACCTAAACATCTACCATTAGGCCCCAGCTACAAACACTGTTGGATTGGGGATCATGCTTCCCACACATACTTTTTGGGGGACACATTCAAACCATAGCAAGTTGTAATAAGTAATGTTTGGCCCATGAGTTAAAAAGGCAACAGTCTATGTAAATAAAATATTTTGTTATTGTTGTTGTTAAAACCGGGAGTTGATTTTTAAGTGTAACTAACATTGAACTTTAGAAAAGGATTTGGCTTGATAATATTTCGATTGGGGTTGTTAATAAAAATAGACTCATTTATTTCAGGTTAATTTGCATGGTTATGAGCTAATAAGGAAAGTTATGTCTTCATATTCCCTTTGTACATTTAAGTGTATTTTCTTCTGTAACTATCACCACCTCAAATTCTACTGATTTGGTAGGCAAGAACTCATGGTCCGGGTGAACAGAGAAACAAATAAAGTAAACAATTTTAAACAGGACTGGAAGAAACTTCAGAACTAAGATGAAGTCAGGTGTCAGATATATCTTAAAGTAGACAAATAATGCAGATAATAATTGTGCTCCATTAATTTTTCAATAATTGAAAAGATGAACTCCTCCATCATTTCTATTAGTCCAGCTTAATTCTGCCTTTAAATCCTAAAATGGAAAACTGGCATAAGCACACTAGATAGTAAGTGGACACCCAAATACTCATGAAAACAGAGACCAAAAGGAATCAAAAGACTTTAGAATACAAATAAAAGGTAAAATGCATTGAATTGGAAACAGTTATCCATTAAAAATAGTAATTCTGGTAAACAAAAAATTATTTCATTATAAGATATATTGCTAATATTCAGTATTAACTATAACATTAAATTAAATTAGAAAATCTCCTCAATACATTCCAAACAAATATTTGAGGAAATTCTAATTAAATGGCTACACAAGCTAACAATTGACACACACTTTCTGTAGGTGAATAGCGATAATATAATAGAGACCCACTGGATTGTTGTTCTAGTCAGTGCTTCAGCTGATTAGCCTACACATATATATATATATATATATATATATATATATATATATATATATATATATATTTTTTTTTTTTTTATTATACTTTAAGTTTTGGGGTACATGTGCACAATGTGCATGTCTGTTACGTATGTATTCATGTGCCATGTTGGTGTGCTGCACCCATTAACTCGTCATTTAACATTAGGTATATCTCCTAATGCTATCCCTCCCCCCTCCCCCCACCCTACAACAGGCCCCGGTATGTGATGTTCCCCTTCCTGTGTCCACGTGTTCTCATTGTTCAATTCCTATCTATGAGTGAGAACATGCGGTGTTTGGTTTTTTGTCCTTGCGATAGTTTGCTGAGAATGATGGTTTCTAGCTTCATGCATGTCCCTGCAAAGGACATGAACTCATCATTTTTTATGGCTGCATAGTATTCCATGGTGTATGTGTGCCACATTTTCTTAATCCAGTCTATCATTGTTGGACATTTTAGCCTACATATTAATTAGATTAAATATTTGCAATATTGTTAAAATAAGCAATTTCAGATTTACTGTGTGATTCCATTTTCTGTATGTTTGTCCTAATGACATTCTTTAACAGATTGCATTTCCTTGATATATGAGCGCATTCATAGGTTTCAGAAAAAAAAAATGAGTACAGTACTACATTTCTTCAAATATTTATTGTGACACTTCAAATAGAGACACATAACAATGTTTTCTTCTTAGTATATATCAATCTGCCTTTGAGAATAACATGCTGCTCAAAGTAATATCTTTTCTCTTATAGATTGTACATTGTTTATGATATTACTAAAACCAATGCATATTAAATATATTAAATCTATTTTGAATAATTCTTTCAGAGTTTAGTTATCTGTAATGTCCTTTGGGTATACCTTAATCCATGTTTTGTGTTGCATGAGTTTCTGTTGCTTTGGCTCTTCAATACATTATAATAATTAAGTTTGTTGGTAAGCAAATGTTGGAACCATAAATATGCAAATTCAACATGTCAGACAGTTGTAGTAATAGCTACTCAATGAAAATTTCTAAAGGGAAATATTAATCATGGGAGTTTTAACTCCACATATCTATCTATGTGAAGAGTCATGAACACATCCTCAGTTTTGATTAACACCACCCTTAAAATAGTCTTACTCAAACTTCTACTTCATGAGTAAGTAAACTAAAGTATAAAGGAAAGTAGTGAATTGCTGAACACTAGAAGTATAAACTAAATACATAATCTGAAAAATAGTATGCTTTCTCTTTGTCGATATTGCTCAGACGGAAATTTTATTTTATTGAAGAAGTTTATAATTAAAACTAAAATATGTTAAGCAAATTACTTCATACAAGGCATTGGGTGAAATATGTAACATATTAAGAGGAAATCTGCAGTTTTTAAGTCTTATGACTGTATGAGAGGCAACCCCAGAAGGAGCACCCCAGGAAAAGACAGCTGGCTGAGGCTGAAGTGTTCAGACCTTATAGCATAGACTGAGCTCATATTAGGTGAATAATATTGTTCTGAGAAAAAGCATATACAAATGAAGTAAACAGACAGGACTAACCAATGCATAATCTAACTATCTCAACCTTAAGGGAAAGCCAGAAAATTTGTGTGGTAGAGGTTTCTGCAATGGAGAAGAATGCTATCAAGAGGTTATTCATTTAGGTTGTAAACAGGTAAAACCATATACTCAGTCTGAAAACATTTCTGAAGTCTTGTGTACTGTTTATAGTCCACTGATTAGAAGGTAGTCTGTGTAAATACTTCATGTTAAAGGTGAGATTCTGTGGGCCTAATAATTGTTCTAAAAAATGCATTGTTCTCCACCTCATACTAAAGACATCACTGTTATCCTTCAACAGCTAAAGTTACAGTGACATAAAATGATTGTTTACATTCACAATAGCAACCCAAAGCACTGTAAATATGCTTGTTCTTCAAGAAAGGTATATTTTCTTTATTACATTAAACTATCCAGGATGTGTAATAAAGAGTGAATTAATTATAGAAAAAATTCATGAGCAATATTTGAAAAATAGACTTTTCATTCAGCCTTTTTTTAATTGAAAGCAATCAGAATGATACATGTATTGGGGAGAAGCCAAGATGGCTGAATAGGAAGAGCTCCGGTCTACAGCTCCCAGCATGAGCAACGCAGAAGACGGGTGATTTCTGCATTTCCATCTGAGCTTTGAAGAGAGCAGTGGTTCTCCCAGCACGCAGCTGGAGATCTGAGAATGGGCAGACTGCCTCCTCAAGTGGGTCCCTGACCCCTGACCCCTGAGCAGCCTAACTGGGAGGCACCCCCCAGCAGGGGCAGACTGACACCTCACACAGCCGGGTACTCCAACAGACCTGCAGCTGAGGGTCCTGTCTGTTAGAAGGAAAACTAACAAACAGAAAGGACATCCTCACCAAAAACCCATCTGTACATCAGCATCATCAAAGACCAAAAGTAGATAAAACCACAAAGATGGGGAAAAAACAGAGCAGAAAAACTGGAAACTCTAAAAAGCAGAGTGCCTCTCCTCCTCCAAAGGAACGCAGTTCCTCACCAGCAACGGAACAAAGCTGGACGGAGAATGACTTTGACGAGCTGAGAGAAGAAGGCTTCAGACGATCAAATTACTCCGAGCTATGGGAGGACATTCAAACCAAAGGCAAAGAAGTTGAAAACTTTGAAAAAAATTTAGAAGAATATATAACTAGAATAACCAATATAGAGAAGTGCTTAAAGGAGCTGATGGAGCTGAAAACCAAGGCTCGAGAACTACGTGAAGAATGCAGAAGCCTCAGGAGCCGATGCGATCAACTGGAAGAAAGGGTATCAGCAATGGAGGATGAAATGAATGAAATGAAGCGAGAAGGGAAGTTTAGAGAAAAAAGAATAAAAAGAAACGAGCAAAGCCTCCAAGAAATATGGGACTATGTGAAAAGACCAAATCTATGTCTGATTGGTGTACCTGAAACTGACAGGGAGAATGGAACCAAGTTGGAAAACACTCTGCAGGATATTATCCAGGAGAACTTCCCCAATCTAGCAAGGCAGGCCAACATTCAGATGCAGGAAATACAGAGAATGCCACAAAGATACTCCTCGAGAAGAGCAACTCCAAGACACACAATTGTCAGATTCACCAAAGTTGAAATGAAGGAAAAAATGTTAAGGGCAGCCAGAGAGAAAGGTCGGGTTACCCTCAAAGGGAAGCCCATCAGACTAACAGCAGATCTCTCGCAGAAACTCTACAAGCCAGAAGAGAGTGGGGGCCAATATTCAACATTCTTAAAGAAAAGAATTTTCAACACAGAATTTCATATCCAGCCAAACTAAGCTTCATAAGTGAAGGAGAAATAAAATACTTTACAGACAAGCAAATGCTGAGAGATTTTGTTACCACCAGGCCTGCCCTAAAAGAGCTCCTGAAGGAAGTGCTAAACATGGAAAGGAACAACCGGTACCAGCCGCTGCAAAATCATGCCAAAATGTAAAGACCATCGAGACTAGGAAGAAACTGCATCAACTAATGAGCAAAATAACCAGCTAACATCATAATGACAGGATCAAATTCACACATAACAATATTAACTTTAAATGTAAATGGATTAAATGCTCCAATTAAAAGACACAGACTGGCAAATTGGACAAAGAGTCAAGACCCATCAGCGTGCTGTATTCAGGAAACCCATCTCACATGCAGAGACACACATAGGCTCAAAATAAAAGGATGGAAGAAGATCTACCAAGCAAATGGAAAACAAAAAAAGGCAGGGGTTGCAATCCTAGTCTCTGATAAAACAGACTTTAAACCAACAAAGATCAAAAGAGACAAAGAAGGCCATTACATAATGGTAAAGGGATCAATTCAACAAGAAGAGCTAACTATCCTAAATATATATGCACCCAATACAGGAGCACCCAGATTCATAAAGCAAGTCCTAAGTGACCTACAAAGAGACTTAGACTCCCGCACATTAATAATGGGAGACTTTAACACCCCACTGTCAACATTAGACAGATCAAAGAGACAGAAAGTTAACAAGGATACCCAGGAATTGAACTCAGCTCTGTGCCAAGCGGACCTAATAGACATCTACAGAACTCTCCACCCCAAATCAACAGAATATACATTTTTTTCAGCACCACACCACACCTATTCCAAAACTGACCACATACTTGGAAGTAAAGCTCTCCTCAGCAAATGTAAAAGAACAGAAATTATAACAAACTATCTCTCAGACCACAGTGCAATCAAACTAGAACTCAGGATTAAGAATCTCACTCAAAACTGCTCAACTACATGGAAACTGAACAACCTGCTCCTGAATGACTATTGGGTACATAACGTAATGAAGGCAGAAATAAAGATGTTCTTTGAAACCAATGAGAACAAAGACACAACATACCAGAATCTCTGGGACTCATTCAAAGCAGTGTGTAGAGGGAAATTTATAGCACTAAATGCCCACAAGAGAAAGCAGGAAAGATCCAAAATTGACAACCTAGCATCACAATTAAAAGAACTAGAAAAGCAAGAGCAAACATATTCAAAAGCTAGCAGAAAGCAAGAAATAACTAAAATCAGAGCAGAACTGAAGGAAATAGAGACACAAAAAACTCTTCAAAAAATTAATGAATCCAGGAGCTGGTTTTTTGAAAGGATCAACAAAATTGATAGACCGCTAGCAAGACTAATAAAGAAAAAGAGAGAAGAACCAAATAGATGCAATAAAAATTGATAAAGGGGATATCACCACCGATCCCACAGAAATACAAACTACCATCAGAGAATACTACAAACACCTCTACACAAATAAACTAGAAAATCTAGAAGCAATGGATAAATTCCTCGACACATCCACTCTCCCAAGACTAAACCAGGAAGAAGTTGAATCTCTGAATAGACCAATAACAGGAGCTCAAATTGTGGCAATAATCAATAGCTTACCAACCAAAAAGAGCCCAGGACCAGATGGATTCACAGCCGAATTCTACCAGAGGTACAAGGAAGAACTGGTACCATTCCTTCTGAAACTATTCCAATCAATAGAAAAAGAGGGAATCCTCCCTAACTCATTTTATGAGGCCAGCATCATCCTGATACCAAAGCCGGGCAGAGACACAACCAAAAAAGAGAATTTTAGACCAATATCCTTGATGAACATTGATGCAAAAATCCTCAATAAAATACTGGCAAACCGAATCCAGCAGCACATCAAAAAGCTTATTCACCATGAGCAAGTGGGCTTCATCCCTGGGATGCAAGGCTGGTTCAATATACGCAAATCAATAAATATAATCCAGCATATAAACAGAACCAAAGACAAAAACCACATAATTATCTCAATAGATGCAGAAAAGGCCTTTGACAAAATTCAACAACGCTTCATGCTAAAAACTCTCAATAAATTAGGTATTGATGGGACGTATTTCAAAATAATAAGAGCTATCTATGACAAACCCACAGCCAATATCATACTGAATGGGCAAAAACTGGAAGCATTCCCTTTGAAAACTGGCACAAGACAGGGATGCCCTCTCTCACCACTCCTATTCAACACAGTGTTGGAAGTTCTGGCCAGGGCAATTAGGCAGGAGAAGGAAATAAAGAGTATTCGATTAGGAAAAGAGGAAGTCAAATTGTCCCTGTTTGCAGACGACATGACTGTATATCTAGAAAACCTCATTGTCTCAGCCCAAAATCTCCTTAAGCTGATAAGCAACTTCAGCAAAGTCTCAGGATACAAAATCAATGTACAAAAATCACAAGCATTCTTATACACCAACAATAGACAAACAGAGCACCAAATCATGAGTGAACTCCCATTCACATTGCTTCAAAGAGAATAAAATACCTAGGAATCCAACTTACAAGGGATGTGAAGGACCTCTTCAAGGAGAACTACAAACCACTGCTCAAGGAAATAAAAGAGGATACAAATGGAAGAATATTCCATGCTCATGGGTAGGAAGAATCAATATCGTGAAAATGCCCATACTGCCCAAGGTAATTTATAGATTCAATGCCATCCCCATCAAGCTACTAATGACTTTCTTCACAGAATTGGAAAAAACTACTTTAAAGTTCATATGGAACCAAAAAAGAGCCCGCATCGCCAAGTCAATCCTAAGCCAAAAGAACAAAGCCGGAGGCATCACACTACCTGACTTCAAACTATACTACAAGGCTACAGTAACCAAAACAGCATGGTACTGGTACCAAAACAGAGATATAGATCAATGGAACAGAACAGAGCCCTCAGAAATAACGCCGCATATCTACAACTATCTGATCTTTGACAAACCTGACAAAAACAAGGAATGGGGAAAGGATTCCCTATTTATTAAATGGTGCTGGGAAAACTGGCTAGCCATATGTAGAAAGCTGAAACTGGATCCCTTCCTTACACCTGATACAAAAATCAATTCAAGATGGATTAAAGACTTAAATGTTAGACCTAAAACCATAAAAACCCTAGAAGAAAACCTAGGCGTTACCATTCAGGACATAGGCATGGGCAAGGACTTCATGTCTAAAACACCAAAAGCAATGGCAACAAAAGCCAAAATTGACAAATAGGATCTCATTAAACTAAAGAGCTTCTGCACAGCAAAAGAAACTACCATCAGAGTGAACAGGGAATCTACAAAATGGGAGAAAATTTTCTCAACCTACTCATCTGACAAAGGGCTAATATCCAGAATCTACAATGAACTCAAACAAATTTACAAGAAAAAAACAAACAACCACATCAAAAAGTGGGCGAAGGACATGAACAGACACTTCTCAAAAGAAGACATTTATGCAGCCAAAAAACACATGAAAAAATGCTCATCATCACTGGCCATCAGAGAAATGCAAATCAAAACCACAATGAGATACCATCTCACACCAGTTAGAATGGCAATCATTAAAAAGTCAGGAAACAACAGGTGCTGGAGAGGATGAGGAGAAATAGGAACACTTTTACACTGTTGGTGGGACTGTAAACTAGTTCAACCCTTGTGGAAGTCAGTGTGGCGATTCCTCAGGGATCTAGAACTAGAAATACCATTTGACCCAGCCATCCCATTATTGGGTATATACCCAAAGGACTATAAATCATGCTGCTATAAAGACACATGCACACGTATGTTTATTGCGGCACTATTCACAATAGCAAAGACTTGGAACCAACCCAAATGTCCAACAATGATAGACTGGATTAAGAAAATGTGGCACATATACACCATGGAATACTATGCAGCCATAAAAAATGATGAGTTCATGTCCTTTATAGGGACATGGATGAAATTGGAAATCATCATTCTCAGTAAACTATCACAAGAACAAAAAAGCAAACACCGCATATTCTCACTCATAGGTGGGAATTGAACAATGAGAACACATGGACACAGGAAGGGGAACATCACACTCTGGGGACTGCTGTGGGGTGGGGGGAGGGGGGAGGGATAACATTGGGAGATATACCTAATGCTAGATGACGAGTTAGTGGTTGCAGCGCACCAGCATGGCACATGTATACATATGTAACTAACCTGCACATTGTGCACATGCACCCTAAAACTTAAAGTATAATACTAATAAAAAAAGAATGATACATGTATTAAGTTGTATTTTAGTTGATAAAATAATCTTATGCATCACCTTAATATTGTTTAATTCTTATCTTCTAAAATAACTCCAAATTATTAAAACTTAATGTGACAATAATAATAACATGATTATTGATTCCATTTCAACAAACACTTACATGGCCTAATGATGTGCTTTCCATATTACAATTTGGGCTTTTTCCCTGCTCTCAAAAAGTACACCAAGTCCAGTAAAACAGTACCACAAATTACAGTGGCATATGGTACAAACAATGAAATTCTCATATTGCAGAATATTCCCACCAGAAATATTTTTGGAACTGTACAAGAATTCCAAGATGTACAAGAGTGGCAGTAATAAATAATGAAAGACTAAATGTTGCACTGCTATGTTCAGAAAGAAGGCTCTCTCATCACACCTATCCACTATTACGTTGGAATTCCTAGCCAGTGCAATGAGGCAAGAAAGAAAAAGTAATCAAGACTATGTGTTCTTGGCAAAAGAATAGACAGATAAATCAATGGAACATGATAAAAATTCCAAAAGTAGACTCACAGAAATATTATTTCACCGAATTTTGAGGAAATGTCCTAATTAATTCAATGGAAACTGGCTTCTCCTGTCAACAAAGTATGTGGAAGAATTGGACAACCATGAACCAAAAGTTCATTTCTATCCAGGCATTACCCTTTATACAAAAAGTTAGCCCCACATGAACCACAGACCTGAAAGTAAAACATAAAATTATAAATTATATGGAAGAAAACATAGGATAAAATCTTTGTGATCTTAGATTAGGCAGTTTATACATAGGGTATCATAAGTATGACCTGTTATAGAAAAATAAATTATACCATCAAAATTAAAACATTTGTTCCGTGGAAGAGTGTTAACAGAATAAAAATATAAGCAAGCCACGAATTTGAAGTAAATATAATGTTAATCACATTTCTGAGAAAGAACTTGTGTCTAGAATATACAAAGAATTTTCAAATCTCAACAATTAAAGGACCAATATCAAATTAATTTATGTGGTATCAGTTGTAATGTCACTTTTATCATTTCTGATTGTGCTTATTTAAATCTTCTATCTTTTTTTATTGGTTAATCAAACTAGCAGCCTAACAATTTTGCTTATTCTTTCAAATAAAAAACTTGGTTTTATTGATCCTTTATATAGATTTTGGTCTCAATCTCATTTACTTCTGCTCTGATCTTTTCTTGACAGTTATTTCTTTTCTTCCATTAGCTTTGGATTTTCTTTTCTCTTGTTATTCTAGTTCCTTCAGCTGTGATGCTAGGTGGTTAATTTGATATCCTTCTGTTCTTTTGATGTGGACATTTGATGTGATAAGCTTCCGTCTTAGCACTGCTTTTGCTGTATCACTGAAGTTGTGATATGTGGTGTCTCTATGTTTATTCATTTCAATTTTTTTAAATTTCTGCCGTAATTTCATTCTTTAAACTGTAATTTCATTCTTTAAAAAAACATCATTTATGAGCAAGTTGTTGGGTTTCAATGCAATGTGTAGTTTTGAGACTTTCTCTTGGAAGTCTACTTCCTTTTGTTTACTGTGTTTTTTTTAATTTTTGTGGATACATAGCAAATATATATATATTTATATAAATAAATAAATATATATAAATAATAAATATTATATATGGGGTACATGACATATTTTGATACAGGCATGCACTATGTAATAACCACATAATGGAAAATGAGGTATCCATCCCCTCAAGCATTTATCCTTTATATTACATACAATCCAATTATATCCTTTTAGATATTTTAAAATGCAAGGTTAAATAATTTTCACTGTAGTGAAAATTACAGTGTAATTTTTGAAAGCACTGTAGTTACCTTGCAGTGCTTTCAAATCCTAGGTATTATCATACTTTCTAACTACTGTTTTGTATCCATTAGCCATCACCACCTCTCCCAACCTCCACTATCCTTCCTAGTCTCTGATGACCATATTTCTACTCTCTGTCTCTACGTGTTCAATTATGTTGATTTTTGCATTCTACAAATAAGTGAGAACAGGCAATAATTGTCTCTCTGTGTCTGGCTTATTTCACATAACATAATGATTTCTGCTTCCATCCATGTTGTTGCAAATGACAGGATTTCATTCTTTTTATGGTTGGATAGTACTCCAGTGTGTGTATCTATTTATCTATTCATGTGTTCTTTGCTTTATCTATTCATGTGTTGATTGACACTTAGGTTGCTTCCAAATCTTGGCTACTGCAAACAGTGCTGCAACAAACATCGAAGTGTTTACTATTTTATGATGTATTAATTTCCCTTCTTTGGGCTATATACTCAGCAGTGGGATTCCTGGATCATATGGCAGCTCTATTTTTAGTTTTTTTGATGAACATCCAAACTGTTCTTCATAGTGGTTGTACTAGTTCACATTCTCACCAACAGTGTACAATAGTTCCTTTTTATTCACATCTTCTCCAGCATTTGGTATTACCTGTCTTTTGTATAAAAACCATTTTAACTGGGGTGGGATGATACCTCATTGTAGTTTGATTGGCATTCATCTGACAATCAATGATGTTGAGTACCTTTTCATATGTCTGCCATTTATATGTCTTCTTTTGAGAAACATCTATTCAAATCTTTTGCCCATTTTTAAATCAGATCATTAGACTTTTAAATATATATATACCTGTGGAGTTGTTTGAGCTGCTTACGCATCCTGGTTATTAATCCCTTGTCAGATGGGTAGTTTGTAAATATTGTCTCCCATCCTATGGGTTGTCTCTTCACTTTGTTGATTGCTTCCTTCACTGAACAGAAGCCTTTTAACTTGATGAGATACCATTTTTCCACTTTTGCTTTGGTCACCTGTGATCGTGTGAATATTAGTCAAGGAATTTGTGTCCAGACCAATATCCTGGAGAGTTTCTCCAATGTATCCTTGTAGTAGTTTCATAGTTCAAGGTCTTCGGTTTAAGTCCTTAATCCATTTTGATTTTATTGTTTTATATGGCAAGTAATAGGAATCAAGATTTATTCCTCTGCATATACATATTCATTTATCTGAGCACCATTTATTAGAGACTGTCCTGTCTCCAATGTATGCTCTTGGCATATTTGTCAAAAATGAGTTCACTGTGAGTTTATGGATTTGTTTCTGGGTTCTCTATTCTGTTCCATTGATCTATGTGTGTGTTTTTATGCCAGTACTATGATGTTTTGGTTACTATAGCTCTGTAGTGTAATTTGAAGTCAGATAATATGGTTCCTTCAGTTTGGCCATGAGTCTTTTGTGGTTCCCTATGAATTTTATGATTATTTTTCTATTTCTGTGAAGAATGCCATTGGCATTTTGATAGAGATCACAATTGCATCTGTAGATTTCTTTGTGTAATATGGACATTTTAACGATGTTGATTCATCTAATCAATGAATCTATAATATCTTTTCAATATTTGTGTCATATTTAATTTTTTATCAGTGTTTTATGGTTTTTATTATAGAGATTTTTTTTCACTTGTTTGGTTAATTCCTAGGTATTTAATTTTATTTGTGGCTATTGTAAATGGAATTACTTTTTAAAATTTCTTTTTCAGATTGTTCACTCTTGGCATATAGAAAGGCTATTGATTTTTGTATGTTGAACTTGTATCCTGCAACTTTACTGACTTTGTTTATCAGTTCAAATAGATTTTTGGTTCAGTATTTTATTTTTTTTCCAATGTAAGATAATATTATCTGTAAACAAGGATAAATTGACTTCTCCCTTTCCAATTTGCATGTATTTTGTTTCTTTCATCTGACTGCTCTGGCTAGGACTTCCAGTACTATGTTGAATAACAGTGGTAAAAGTGGGCAGCCTTGTCATGTTCTGGATCTTAGAGAAGAGGCTTTCAGTTTTTCTCCATTCAGTGTGATACTAGCAATAGGCCTGCCATATATGGCTTTCATTATGTTGAGGTATATCCGATCTATAACCAGTTTCTTGAAGATTTTTTTTTATCAAGAATGGATGTTGAATTTTATCAAATACTTTTTCAGCATCAATTCAGATGATCATATGGTTTTTGTTCTTCATTTGGTTTTTATGATGTATCAAATAAATTGATTGGTGTTTGTTGAACCTTTCTTGTATTCCTGGGATAAATCTAATTTGATCATAATTAGTGATCTTTTTAATGTTTATTGAATTCAGTTTGCTAGTATTTGTTGAGGATTTCTGCATCAATATTTATCATAGATATTAGCTTGTAGTTTTCTTTAGTGATGTATCTTTGGTTTTGGTGTCAGGGTAATACAGACTTCATAGTGATAGAGGAAATAGAAAGAAATTATTTAGACAGATAGTAAGGGTAACAGAGTCCTCAGCGAAATTTCTCTTTTAACAAAAAGCAGCCCCCAAATTTCTTCTCTAACAAAGAGCAGCCTGGAAAATTGAGCTGCAGACATAGATAAGCAAGTTAGAAGCTTGCACAGGTGAATGCCAGCAGCTGTGCCAATAGAAAAGGGCTACCTAGAAGCAAGGTATGTTCAACATGGAGTCCCATCTTCCCTTTTCTTTGTCACCACATGTACAGTAAAGGAACAGGCAACATGGCACCGGCCAGTAGAGAACCTATCTGCATAATAAAAGATTACAGTCGGGGTGGCCAGATTTTCACGTGCTGTGCAAATGACACACCTGGTCCAATCAATCTTTCGTGCCCTATGTAAATAAAACACCACCTCCGCAAGCTCAACTATAAAACCTCTTGCACTTCACCGTTGACTGGAAGACCCGATTGGGACTCCTCTCTCAACAGGAGAGAGCTTTTCTCTTTCTTTTGCTTGTTAAACCTCCACTCTTAACCTCACTCCTTGTGTGTCCACATCCTTGATTTCCTTGGTGTGCAATAAGGAAACTTGGGTATTACCCCAGACGAATGATGCCACTTAAATAGAATCAGCTTGGAAATATTTTTTCTCTTTTTTTTTCAGCATAGTTTGAGTAGGATTGGTATTAGTTCATCTTTTAATGCTTGGAAGAACTCAGTGGGGAAGCCATTGGGTCCCAGGCTTTTTATATTAGGATCCTTTTTTTTTATTATGGCTTCAATCTTGTTACTTGTTATTGGTCCCTTCAGGTTTTGAATTTCTTCATGGTTCAGTCTTGGTAGGTTGTATGTGTCTAGGATTTTGTCACTTTCCTCTATATTTTCCAATTTATTGGCATGTAGTTACTTACAGTATCCCCTAATGATCCTTTGAATTTCTGTGGGATCAGTTTTAATGTCTGCTTTTTCTCTCAAATTTTGTTTATTTGGGTATTCTCTCTTTTTTAATTTGTTATTCTGGATAAAGATTTGTCAATGTTTATCTTTTCAGAAAACCAACTTTTTGTTTCATTGATCTTTTGTATTGTTTTCTTCATTTTGAATTCATTCATTCCTGCTCTGATCTTTATTTTCTTCTAATAAGTTTAGGTTTTGTTTTCTCTGCTTTATTCATTATTTAAGATGCATCATTATGTTATCCATTTTAAGTTTTTGTTCTTTTTTGATGTAAGAAAACTATAGCTATAAATGTTTCTCTTAGTAATGTTTTTTACTGTATTCCATAGGTTTTGGTATGTTGTGTTTTCATTATCATTTGTTTCAGGGAATTTTTCAATTGTCTTCTGAAGTTTTTCATTGACCCACTGGTTATTTAGAAGCATATTGTTTAATTTCCATGTGTTCATATAGTTTCCAAAATTCTTCTTGTTGAGTTCCAGTTTTGATTACGATTTGATTATGGTAAGAGAAGATGCTTAATATTATTTCCATTATTTTAATGTTTCAAGGCTTGTTTTGTGATGTAACATAGGGTCTACCCTTGGGTGATCCACATTATGAGGAGAAGAATGTGCATTCTGCAACCTTTGAATAAAATATTCTGTAAATACCTATTAGGTACATTTGTTCTACAGTGCAGATTAAGCTCCAATTTTTCTTTGTTGAGATTCTGTCTGGGAGATCTTTCCAATGTTGTAAGTGGGGTGTGGAATCTTCAGCTATTATTGAATTGAGGTCTATTTCTCTCTTTAGCTCTAATCATATTTGACATATTTATCTGTGTGCTCCAGTGTTGGGTGCATATATATTTATAATTTTTATATACTGTTGCTAGATTTACACCTTTATCATTATATAATGACCTTCTTTGTCCCTTCTTACAGTTTTTGTCCTGAAATTTATTTTATCTGATACAAATGTATATCGGGGGAACCAGCCCCCAATATTTCAATGTAGGTTCTTTTCTATTTTCCCTAAGTGTCAGCTGGTCTGAGAAATAAAAAGAAAGAGTACAAAGAGAGAAATTTTACAGCTAGGCCTCCGGGGGTGACATCACATATTGGCAGGTTCTGTGATGCCCCTTGAGCCACAAAACCAGCAAGTTTTTGTTAGGAATTTCAAAAGGGGACAGCGGTACAAACAGGGAGTAAGTCACAAAGATCACATGCTTGAAAGGGCAATAAAAGATCACAAGGGCAGAGAGGCAGAGCAAGATCACAAGGCCAGGGTGAAATTAGAATTATTGATGAGGTTTCATGTCCTGCTGGGTACGCATTGTCATTGATAAACATGTTAACAGGAAACAGGGTTTGAGAGCAGACAACCAGTCTGACTAGAATTTGCCAGGCTGGAATTTCCTAATCCTAGCAAGCCTGAGGGCACTGCAGGAGACCAGGGCATATTTCATCCCTTATCTTCAACTGCATCAGACAGACACTCCCAGAGGAGCCATTTAGAGAACTCCCCCTGGGAGTTCCTTTCTCAGGGTTATTCCTTGCTGGGAAAAGAATTCAGTGATATTTCTCCTATTCACTTTCTGCAAGAAGAGAAATATGACTCTGTTCTGCCCGGCCCTGCAGGCAGTCAGATCTTATGGTTATCTCCCTTGTTCCCTGAAAATCGCTGTTATCCTGTTCTTTTTTAGGATGCCCAGATTTCATATTGTTCAAACACACATGTTTTACAAACAATTTGTGCAGTTTACGCAGTCATCACAGGGTCATGAGGTGACATACATCCTCAGCTTACAAAGATGACAGGATTAAGAGATTAAAGTAAAGACGCATAGGAAATTATAAGAGTATTGATTGGGGAAGTGATTAATGTCCATGAAATCATCACAATTTATATTCAGAGTTTGCAGTAAAGACAGGCGTAGGAAATTATACAAGTATTAATTTGGGGAACTAATAAATGTCCATGAAATCTTCACAATTTATGTTCTTCTTCCACGGCTTCAGCCCGTCCCTCCATTCAGGGTCCCTGACTTCCCACAACAAATGTAGCTACTTCTGCTCCTTTTCTGTTTCCGTTGACATGGAAACCAAATCCTTTTTCCATTTCTTTGTTTTCAGTCTATGTGTATCTTTATAGGTGAAGTGTGTGTTTCTTATAGGCAACAAACCACAAGGTCTTGGTTTTTTAATCCACTCACTCTATAACTTTTGATTGGAGAGTTTAGTCCATTTATATTTAATGTTATTATTGATAAGTAGGTACTTACTCCTGCCATTTTGTTATTTGTTGTTTTGGTTGTTTTGTGGTCTTCTCTTCATTGTTTCTTTCCTTTCTGTTTTCCTCTAGTGAAAGTGATTGTCTCTGTTGATACAATTTAGTTTCTTGCTTTTAATTTTTTGTGTTTCTCATTGTATGTTTTGTTTTATTTGAAGTTACCATGAGGCTTCAAATACAATCTTATAACCCATTATTTTATCTCTAGTCTACCGTAAGTGAAATAACTCAGAAATCAAATATCACATATTCTCACTTGTAAGTGAGAGCTAAACATGGGTACTCATGGACATAAAGATGGATGTTGTAGACACTGAAGAATCCACAGGTGGGGAGGGTGCAAGGGTGGGAGTTGAAAAATTATCTCGTGGGTACAACTTTTAATATTTGGGTGCAAAACACGCTAGAAGCCTAAGCCTCACCATTACACAATTTATCAATATAACAAACCTGCACATGTACCCCCTGAATGTATAATTTTTTAAAAAAATTCAATTAAAAACTAAATCTAAAAGGGCTAAATACTATATTTTTCCAAAGATATGATATTCTGGAAAATAAAAACTATAGAGACAGTGAAATGATATATGGTTTCAGGGGTATGAAAGTGGGAGGAATAAATAACTGAAGCATAGTGGATTGTTAGGGCAGGGAAACTATTCTATATGATACTATAATGGTGAATATATATCACACAAACATATACCAAACCCACAGAAATACAACAATAAGAACGAATCCTGATGTAAACTCTAGACTTTGGTTGCTAATAATGTGTCAATGTTGGTTTTTGTATTGTAATTATTGTAACACTCTGATGCAGGATGTTGATGGTGAAGGAAGATGTGACTATGTGTGGAAAGATGTGAGTATGTGTGGAAAAGGGGCATGTGAAGATTCTACTTTCTGCTCAACTTTGTTTCAAACCTTAAACTGTTCTAAAAAAAAACCTACCCCCCTAAAAAAACATAGCTAAAGATCTGACAGGACACTTCACCAAGGAAGATAGACATATAGTAAATATTCAGATAAAATACGTTCAGTATTATTATTCTTTAGGGAAATACAAATTAAAACACAAAGACACCATTGCACACTTATTAAAATGGCAAAAATAATTCCAATTACTGACAAAGATTCAGAACATCAGAAACACTTGAACAGTGCTGATAAAACTGGAAAAAAATTTTGGTGTTTTCTTATAAGGTTTAGTGTTCACTTATAATGTAGCAATTCAATTCCTAGATATTCATGAAAGATAAATGAAAGCTTTTATTTTTTACCTCGAAAACCTATATGTAAATATTTATAGCCATGTTATTTATGATCACCCCAAACTGGAAACAACTTAGATGTCCTTCAACTTTGGTATATATACACAATAGAGTATCACCAAATGATAAAAATGAGTGGACTGTTGATTCCTGCAACCAAATAGTTGAAATTTAAATACACCTTATAAAGTGAAAGGAGTCAGGTGCCAAAGACTGCATACTGTATGATTTAATTTTTAGGTCATTCTGAAAAACAAAACTATAAAGACAGGAAACTGACCAGTGGTTTCCAGGGGCTAAGGGTGTTGAGGGAAGACTTAACTACAAATGAGAATCATGACTGTAACTTGTCCCGGTGACACTGTTAATATCATGTCTGTGGTGGCAAACAAATGACTATATGCACGTCCCAATACTTGTAAAACTTTACATCACATGGAATAGATTTGGTCTTACATAAAATTAAAAAGAACTAGAGAAGCAAGTGTTATCTTGGGGAGAACCCATAATGAAATAGAAACTGTAACAGATTAACTCAACGGTATTACAAATGAATAACAACCACACTGGAGGGAGTGGGGAGGTAAAGGACTATCCTTAGTTAAAGAGAAAAGAAACTGTAAATAAATATGAACTGTAACTACTTAATTTGTTTCTCATAGGGGCATGGGTTAGCAAATTTGAAATTACCTTACTGTACAGTAGGACGGAACTGATAAAAAATATATTACCAATAATATATGACTGCTGAAGTGACTTCCTTTTCTAATATTCTATGAGAATGTTGTGATGATAATGATATATGAAAGTCTCTATTAAATTTTATTAAAATAATGAATGGATAAGTTGAAAAATTGATTGATGGACCTAACAGATTGCTATCTGTGGTTGAGGAGTTCATGAGTGATAACCTGCAAGTTTGGGGAAAATTTCATTCTATCAAATTTTTTTGGCACATATTTGCACTTATAGATTATGGTAATCAAAAATTTAGGCACTACGGGGTGACCGCTTGCAGAAAATAACCATAAAGTCTGAACAAGAGTACAAAATGTGATAGACTGACAGCACAAGAGAGTAAACAGAGCACTAGAACTCTGGAGATAAATGGATGTCATAGGTAGGGGAGGGAAAATATGGGGTGGGTGAATAAGTTCTCAATCATTGTAGCTTTTTTTTTTTTGGACTAAATGTGATTGTCAGGGAAGGTAGCAGTAGCAGTGATAGCAATGGAAATATTGGTTGATAAAATAATCTCTCTGCCTGGGAGATCTAGGAAACTAAAGATAGGCCATGTATGCCCATTGAAGAAAGTATGGCAATTCTAGAGTTGAAAGTGCAAACAGAGGGTTCTCAATTCAACTCACTGGGGAAAAAAATATCTGATTTGTGATAACTTACACTCAAGAAGCAGAGTTGCATTTCAATTACCAGCAAGAGAATTGCCTGCTTACAATAGCATAAATGTCCATTAGATAAAAAATAACAGTTATTTTATTTTTTAATATTATCCAATATTTTTTAATATTATCCAAAATTTAAACTGCACATAGTTTGGTATATAATTTTAAATTACTATACGTGTTAATAACAACAACAAAAACACACAACATGAACAATTTTTAAAACCTGATCTACTATGGTACCAACCAGGTGCAGATGATAAATCTAAAATGATATTACAGAAGATATTATAACTACTTTTAAGGAGGGGAGTCTCTTTTAAGATATATGCTGCTAAAGTTCTTTAACTTCAGTTCTCTAATAAACACAATGCTAGGCTTATATACCTGTCCTGAATACTCATATATTTTTCTTGTATTTATGGATCTTCCAAAGGAGAAAAATGATTCTAAGTATACTTAATTCTATATAGTTCTGTGACAATTTAGAGGCAAGGAAGATTGCTCAATTAGTTGAAAACTAATGTATAATTTTGTAATGTTTATGTTTTCTAGCTGAGATTTAGGTGTATATGTTTGTCTTAGGCACTTTGGGTTGCTTTAACAGAATATCTGAGACTAATTTATAAAAAACATAAATTTGTTTATTTTTCACAGTTCTGAAGGTTAGGAAAGCTAAGATTAAGATGCTATCAAGTTCATCTATCTGTTTAGGGCTGCTCTTTGTTTCCAAGGCACCAAGAGGCAACAAGGTGCTGCCTCTTCTGTAGTGGAAGAACTCTGTCCTGACATGAATGAAGAGACAACAGAGCAAATGGGAGTAAACTCCATCAAGTCGTTTTATACGGCATTAATTCATTGAGCAGGCTGGAGCCCTCATGACTTAAACACCTCTCAAAAGGCCCTGCTTTCCAACACTGTTACACTGGGAAATAAGTTTCCAAAATGTGAATTTTAGGGGACATATTCAGACCATAGCAATGCTCTTTAACCTCTTTGTTTTCTTTTCAATTCTGTGGTCATTCTTTATAAAGGAACTCATTTGTGTGCATATGTGGCAAAAAAAATGTGTTTTTATATGCAAGTTTAAATTAAATATAATTTTTAAATAGGTGTTCATATTTCACTGGATACTTTTAATACAAAATATTAAAAATGTATTGTTTATGTCTAGAAAGCATAGAAAGTTTTTTTTTTTTTTTTTTTTGAGACGGAGTCTCACTCTGTCGCCCAGGCTGAAGCGCAGCGGTGTGATCTCGGCTCACTGCAAGCTCCGCCTCCCGGGTTCACGCCATTCTCCTGCTTCAGCCTCCCGAGTAGCTGGGGATACAGGCGCCCACCACCACGACCGGCTAATTTTTTGTATTTTTAGTAGAGACAGGGTTTCACCGTCTTAGACAGGATGGTCTCGATCTCCTGACCTCGTGATCCGCCTGCCTTGGCCTGCCAAAGTGCTGGGATTACAGACGTGAGCCACCGCGCCTGGCCAAAAGCATAGAAAGTTTTTTTGTTCATTCCTGATGTTTGGAAGTAACGGAAAGTTGTAGTTTATTAGGTGATTATAAAAATTATTAAATAAATACCTTCAGGATATTAAAATTTTGTATAATAATTTGAATAGTACCTTTGAAATATTTGAACTTATTTTTGTGTATATAAGAAAGCAAAAAAATATTAATTATCCTGATACAGATTGCTTTAATTAAAATCTCCCAACTGGGACTTGTCCTAGTTTTTATACTAAAATAAAGATTGTCACCTTGCTAACCCTTGACTACCTTGTAGGTTTTCTAGGACAATTAATATATTTTGAGAATATCAAACCACCAACTCTTTGCAGATTTTCGCAAAAATAAAGAAAGAATGAAACTCCTCTTCGGCATTCATAACCTGGGTCAACTATATTCAGTCAAATAGGTATTTGTTCAACTCCTGCTGTACTCGCATTGTGCTAGTGACTCCTGTGTTCTATTAAAATTCTCTCTCAGATAAATTTGACTCTAAAGCTCAAAAAATTTTTATTAGATATACTGGTCTATAATTTTATTTTCCTGTAACTGTATTGTTATTTATTTTTATTAAGTATAATTTCACGAGACCAGCTGTCAATGAAGAGCATCTTTCTAAAAGCTTGCCCAATGTATTGAGAATGTGTAAGTTCACAATAGGAAATTTCTGGAAATTACATCAAATTACTAAGGTTTTGATCATTTATGAAATTATTTCCTCAGCCATCTAGTTCTTCACCAAGGAAATCTTTCATTTGCAAAAGTGTCCATGGGGCATTATGTTCCTTCTGATCTTGCACCGACATACCTCAGATATATTGCTGGTTCATCTATAAATGATCACAATAAAGTGAAAATCACAATAAAGTGAATATCACAATAAAGCAAATCCTACATATTTTTGGTATTCAAGCGCATATAAAAGTTATATTTACACTATATTGCAGTCTATTAAAGTATGAAATAGCATTATGTGTAAAAAGCCAATGTACATATCTTAATTTAAAAATACTTTATTACTAAAAAATGCTAATGATCATCTGAGGCTTCAGAGAGTCATAGTCTTTCCAAAGACCCTGGTGGAAGGTGATGCTTCAGTGCTGATGGTTACAGACTGATCAGCATGGTGGTTGCTGAAGGTTGTCATGGCTG
Organism: Homo sapiens; assembly: GCF_000001405.40. Classification (NCBI taxonomy): domain Eukaryota; kingdom Metazoa; phylum Chordata; class Mammalia; order Primates; family Hominidae; genus Homo; species Homo sapiens. Next base: position 193,019,629 of record NC_000002.12, on the reverse strand, counting down.
TGGTAATTTCTTAAAATAACACAACAATAAAGTTTGTCACATTGATTGACTCTTCCTTTCACAAAAGATTTCTCTGTAGCATGCAATGAAGTTAGATACCTATCTTACAAATTATAAGAAAATTAAATCAAGTGAATCAAAGACTTAAATATAAGAGCTAAAACTGTAAAATTTAAAATAAACATAAGAGCAAATCTTTGTAATTTTGGATTGAGCAATGTTTTCTTAGATATGACATCAAAAGCACAAGCAACAAAAGAAAAAATAAATTGTACTTCATCAAAATAAAAATATTTTGTGAATGAAAAGACACTATCAAGAAAGTGGAAAGACAACACACAAAGTGGGAGAAAATATTTGCAAATAACAACTGACAAGAGACCTGTATCTAGCCTACATAAAAGACCTTTACAACTCAATGAGAAGATGACACAAAGCCCAATTAAAAAATGGTCGTTTCTACAAAAGAATGAACACTTCTACAAAGAGAGGTACAAATGGCACTAAGCACATGAAAAGATGTTCAATATCATTAGTCATGAGAGAAATGCAAATCAAACCGCAATGAGATACGACTTCATACTTACTAGATTGCTATTATCAAAATGATAGAAAATAATGTTAGCAAGGATGTAGAGAAGTTGGAACCCTATATACTTTAGACAGAATGTAAAATGATTCAGACACTTTGGAAAACAGTCTGGAAGTAACTCAAAATGTTTAGTACAGTTACCATTTGACGTAGCACTTTCACTCCTAAATATATACTCAAGAGAAATAAAAACATATGTCCACACAAAAACTTGTACTTGAATATTCATAGCAACATTATTTATAATACCCAGGAGCTGGATACCACCCAAATGTCCATCAATTGATGAATGGATAAACAAAATGCAATATGTCCAGTCAATGGAGTACTAGTCAGTCATAAAATGAAGTACTGAGACACACTACAAGAAGTATGAACCTTGAAAACATTAGGCTAGGAGAAATGACTGCATATTATATGATTCTAATTTTATGAAATGCCCAGAAGAGGAATATCCATACAACTGGAAATAGGATTAATTGTTGCCTAGGGCTAGGAGAATTAAAGATTGAGTATAATGGCTAAATTAATATGTTGTTTCTTTTTGGGGAGAGTAGAATATTCTAATATTGATGTGGTGAGGGTTGCACAACTCTGCGATATGGTAAAAACCATTTTGTTGTACACATGGTGAATTTTATGGTATGTAAATTATGTCTCAATAAAGGTGTTACAAAAGTAGATAAAGGGGGTCTTTGCCTCATGAGCATAGCTGTCCCTGTAGCTACCAAATTGCATTGAAAAATTTCTTTTTTTTTTTTTTTTGTCAGTATGAAGTGTATTTAGCAGGGCCAAGAATTTATTTCTCAACAGTTTGGGCACATATATTCAGCAGCTTTCTATAAGATTGAGACACATTATGGATATATAATATTTAACACATGTTAGTTGGAGAATTGAAAAAGAATAGCATGTTTAATACTCCCATTTTCTGATGACTTTTTAAAAAGCATTTGATTGATAATGCCTTGGAATGGCAGATAACAAGTCAGGGTTACTTGATTAAACCTCTTGCAAAAACAATATAAAAACAGAACAAAATCACCCACAGACAATTTAATAGCTGTTGAATAGTTCATTATAAAACACTGAAATCAGAATTCAGCCATGCTTAGAGAATGAGATTCATCAAAGTGTGCTTAATAAGAAGGTAAGGAGGTAAAATCTTGCCTGATTGTTTCATTTTTAAAAAATTGTATAATTTTAAGGATTAAAAGTGCAAGTTTGTTACATGGTTATATTGCATAGTGGTGAAGTTTGGCCTTGTAGCGTAAACATCAACCAAATAAAGTACATTGTACTCATTACATAATTTCTTATCCCTCATCCCCGTTCCACACTTCCAAGTCTCCAGTGTCTATTATTCCACTCCCTATGTCAATGTATACACATTATTTAGCTCCCTCTTATAGGTGAGAACAAGCAGAGTGTGGTTTTCTGTTTCTGAATTGCCTCACTTAAGATAATGACCTCCAGCTCCACCCATGTTGCTGATAAAGACATATTTTCATTCCTTTTTTTAAGGCTGAATATTATTTCTTTTCATGTATATACCACATTTTAAAAATCCATTCATCTGTTGAGTGATACTTAGATTCATTCCAAATCTTTGCTATTGTAAATAGTGCTGCATTGAACATACAAGTGCATGTATACTTTTAAATAATAATTTCCTTTATTTTGGGTAGCTATCAAGTAGTTGGATTGCTGGATACAATGGCAGGTTAATTTTTGGTTCCTTGACAAATCTCCATGCTATCTTCCATAGAAGCTGTACTAATTTACATTCTAACCAACAGTGTATTAGCATTCTGTTTTCTCTGCATCCGTGCCAACACCTGATATTTTTAAATGTTTTAATAATACACATTCTCTCTGGTATAAGATGATATCTCATTGTGGTTTTAATTTGCAATTCTCTGATAATTAGTGATGTTGAACTTTTTTTCATATTCTTCTTGGCCATTTGTATGTTTTCTTCAAAAATGGTTATTCATGCCCCCTTCCCACTTTTTAATGGGGATATTTTGTTGTTGTTGTCTATTTTTGGTCTTGTTATTTGATCTTTTGACGCCTGAGTCATGTATTCTTTGCCCAGACCAATGTCTGTGAAAATTTTTCATAGGTTTTCTTTTGGTATTTTAACAGCTTCAGGTCTTGCATTTATGTCTTTGCTACTTCTTGAGTTGATTTTTGTATGTATGAGATATAGGGGTATAGTGTCATTGTTTTGTTTGTGGCAAACCAATTTCCTCAGCATTATTTATTGAATAGGGTGTCCTTTCCCCAGTGCATGTTTTTGTCCACTTTGTCAAAGATCAGTTGGCTGTAGATATATGACCTTTTTTCTGAGTTCTCTATTGTGTTTCATTGATTCTATGTATCTATTTTTATATCAATATCATGCTGTTTTAGTTACTATAGGCTTGTAGCATAATTTGAGGTCAGGTGATGTGATGCCTTTGGCTTTCTTCTTTTTGTTTCAGGTTGCTTTGGCCATTCAGACTCTTTTTTGGTTCCATATGAACAATAGGAATTATTTTTCTAATTCTGTGATTAATGATGTTCGTATTTTAATAGGGATTGCAATAAATCCATAGATTGCTTTGCACAGTATAGCCATTTGAATGATATTGATTCTTCCACTCCATGAGTATGGGATGTTGTCCTCTTGTTTGTATTATCTACAATTTCTTTCATCAGATTTATGTAGTTTTCCTTGCAGTGAACTTTATATCTCTTCATTAAATATATTTACAGATTTTTTAGAAATTATCATAAATGCAATTGACTTCTTGATTTGGTTCTGAGCTTCATAGTTGTATAGGTGTATAAAACCTAGATTTATAGGTGTATAAAAATGCTACCAATTTTTGTTGATTGGTTTGGTATCCTGCAACCTTCTTAATTGTATTTATCAAGTCTGAGAGATTTTTGGCAGTCTTGGATTTTCTAGGAATAAGATCATATCATGAAAAAACACAGATAATTTGACTTCCTATTTTCCAATGTGGATGCCTTTTATTTATTTCTCTTGCCTGATTGTTCTGGCTAGGACTTCCAGGACTATTTTGAATAGGAGTGTTAAAATTAGGCACCATTGTCTTGTTTCAGTTCTTAGGGGAATTTCTTTCTTTCCCCATTGTGTATGATGTTGGCTGTGGGTTTGTCATATATAGCCTTTATTTTTGGGGTGTCTTATTTAGTTCTTCTTTTGTCTTTTTTTTCTTCTGCTGGCTTTGGGTTTGGTTTGTTCTTGTTATTCTAGTTCCTTGAGGTATCACATTAGGTTATTAATTTGTGGTCCTTCTATATTTCTGATGTAGGCATTTAACAGTATAAACTACACTATAAACTTCTATGCCTAGTTTGTTGAGGGTTTTTATCATGAAGAGATGCTGGATATTATAAAAAAATTTGTTCTGCATCTATTGAAATAGACAATAATATGGTTTTGAACCTAATTCTGTTTATGTGATGAATCACATTTATTAATTTTATATTTTGAACCATCCTTGCATCCATACAATAAAACCCTCTTGTTCATGGCCTATTATCCTTTCGATATGCTATTGGATTCCGTTTGCTAGTATTTTGTTGAGAATGTTTGCATCTATGTTTATCAGGAATATTGGTCTGAAATATTTTTTACTGTTATTCTGTCTTTGGCTCTGCTATCAAGTTGATACTGGCTTCATAGAATGACTTAGGAAACATTCCCTTACCCTTGATTTTTTGGAAGAGTTGTTTCAGGAGGATTGGTACCAGTTCTTCTTTGTAAGTTTTGTGGAATGTGACAGTGAATTCATCTGATCCTAGGCTTTTTTGTTGTTTTAGGGAGATTGTTTTTACTACTGATCCAATAACACTACTTGTTACTGTCTGTTCAGAATTTTAATTTCTTCCTGGTTAAATCTCAAGATATTCTATTTTTCCATAAATTTATCCATTTCCTCTAGGTTTTCCAGTGTGTGAGCACATAGATTTTCATAGTAGTATCTGACAATCTTTTCATTTTTGTGGTATCACATTTAATACCTTCTTTTTCATTTCTGATAATGTTTATTTTCATCCCTCCCTTTTTCTTGGTCAGTCTAGCTAGTGGTTTATCAATTTGTTTATTTTTTCAGGGAACCAATTTTTCATTTTGCCAATTCTTTGTATTTTTTTGTCTCAATCACATTTAGTTCTGCTTTGATCTTTGTTATTTTTTTTTTCTTCTGCTAGCTTTGGGTTTGATTTGTTCTTCTTATCCTAATTCCTTGAAGTATCACATTAGGTTGTTAATTTGTAATCTTTATCTGTTTTTGATGTAAGCAGTTAACACTATAAAATTACTTTTTAGTCCAGGTTTTGCTATACCCAAGAGGTTTTTTTTTGTGTCTTCCTTTTGATGTGTTTTAAACGTTTCTTAAATTTCCATCTTAATATCATCATTAACTCAAAGATTCTTCAGGAACATGTTGTTGAATTTCCACGTGTTTGTATAGTTTTGAGAGTTTCTCTTGAGATTGATTCTAGTTTTATTTGTTGTGGTAAGACAAGATACTTGATATGATTTCAATTTTAAAAATGTATTAAGACTTATTTTATGGCCTAACATAAGATCTGTCTTGGATAATACTCCATGTATTGATGAGAAGGGTGTATATTCTGCAGTTGTTAAATAGAATGTTCTGTATCTGTTACATCTATTTCATCTAAAGTTCAATATAATTTCAGTGTTTCTTTGTTGATTTTCTATTTTGATGATCTGTCTAGTGCTGTGAGTAGAGTGTTGAAGTCCTCAACTGTCATTTTATTATAATCTCCTTCTGTAGGTCTTGTAATATTTGTTTTATAAATCTCGGTGGTCCACTGTTGGGTACCTATATATTTAGGATTGTTACAGCCTCTATTGAATTGATCCCTTTATCATTATATAATAACCTTCTTTTTTTTTACTATTTTCTATTTAAAGTCTGTTCATCTGACGTAAGTATAGTTACTTTTGCTCACTTCTGATTCTGTTTGGGTGAAATATGTTTTTCCATTTCTTTACCTTCAGTCTATAAGTGTCTTTCCCAGTAAGGTGAGTGTCTTGTAAGCAGCATACTGTTTGATCAATTTTTAAAAAATCCCTTCTGCCAATTTATATCTTTTTTTTAAAAATGGAGCATTTAATCTATTTACCTTCAAGGTTAATATTGATACATGAGGTTTTATTCCTGTCATAATGTTAATTATCTAGTTATTTTGTAAATTCTTTGTTTATTTCCCTATTTTATTTCTAGTTTGGTAGAGTTCTGTCATGTTGTCATTTAATTTCTTTATCCTTCTTCTTTGTGTAATTGCTTTATAAAACCTGTGACTTTTATTCCTTTGTGTATTTTTTTTGGTTATAGTAACAATGTGCCTGGTGGATCAGTGGGCTCAAGGGTTCTTGAGTAGCCAAGATGAGGTGGGTAATACAAACCTTTTGTTTCCTTGTTTAGAACTCCTTTTAGCATTTCTTGTAGAGGCAGTCTAGAGGTGGTTAATTCTCTCAGAGTTTATTTGCCTGGGAAAGACTTTATTTCTCCTTCATTTATGAAGCTTATTCTGATAGGATATTTAACTGGTGGTGGAGAGTTTTTGTATTTAAAAACTATGAAAATAGTCTACCAATCTTTCCTGATTTATCTGATAGGGTTTCCTTTATAGGTGACTAGATGCATTTCTATAGCTAATTTTAGGATTTTTTTTTCCTTCACGTTCACTGAAGACAGCCTAATCACTATAAGTCATTGTGAAATCCATCTTGCAACGTACATCTTGGCACTCATCTGGGCTTTTGTATCTGAATGTCTAAATCTCTTTCAAGAGTAGAAATGTTTTCATCAAGTATTTCCTTAAATAGGTTTTTCACACTTCTTGGTGGCTTGTAAGTTTGAACACTTTATGTAGTCCCATACTTCTCTAAAGCTTTGCTTATTCTTTTAAATCTGTTTTGTATTTATTTTCTGACTGGATTACTTCAGAAGACCTGTATTCATTTTCTGAGATTCTCTATTCTGCTTGGTCTGGTCTATTATTGACCTTTCAATTAATGTTGTAATGCTTTCAATGATTTTTTTTATTACTCTGAGTAATGGTTGTTGTTTTTCTTTTAAAAATATCTATCTCCTTGGTAAAATTCTAATTCATATCCTTAATTTATTTTCTGATTTATTTGTATTGATTTTTAGATTTCTCATGGATCTCATTGAACTTCTTTAAAAGCAATATTTTAGGCTCTATATCTGGAATTTTGAAAATTTCATTTTGGTAAAATTCAATTCTTAGAGAGTTACTATGTTGCTTTGGTGGTGTCACAAGACCTTGTCTTTTCTAATTCCAATATTATTATGCTGATTTCTTTGCATCTGGAGAAATCATCACTTCTTATTTTTAAATTTACTTTTGTTGGAACCAGACATTTTTCTTCTTGAGGATGTGAATATAATGTATGTAGAGTTGGGATATTTGGCTTTGTTTCTGGGTAGACTCAGCGGTGTAGACTCTGTATGATTGCCTTGGCTATAAACAGCCTTACTGTAGTGGCTTTCTCAAATGCCAGTTGTAGAAGCAATATGCCTGGTAGGTCAGTGGGTTCAAGGCTTCCTGAGCAGCAAAGGTGGTGTGGGTGATGGTAGTAACAGAACTCACACATAGCTTGCCTCATTCTCAAGTGCTGTGCAGTTGTGCCATCAGATATTGTAATGAGCTGTGAAGGTCAACCTCCAGACCAGTAGGTGGTGCTTGCTAATCGGAGCCAGTTGCAGTGGTGGCAGTAGGTTTATAATTGACCCGTTGAAGTATTTAAGCATCCCTGGTGATGGGTTGGGCAATGAAATGCTTAGTGATCCTGGATTCATGCTCTGCCTTCAGGGAGGAGTTAGGGGCACAGCCTGGGAGGGCTGGGCCAGGTAAACCTGCACACAAGCCCCCAATGGTGGCAGCCCAAGGCCCCTGGTGAGATGCCCCAGTGAGAAGTGAAGCAACCACTGCCATATCAGCAACCCAGCATGGGGAAAGAGGGGCAGCTTAGGCTACACAGCTAGCAAGCAGTAGAGGGACCCACTTTGTTCTTATACTCCTGACCTGGTGAAGCTTCCTCCCATAGGCTGATGCTGGAAGCATGTCAGGACAGTTAGCCAAAGCAAGTGCAGTTTGCCTTCATATCATAAAAATGTCCCAGGCTGCAAAACTTGCCGCAGGTGTCAGAACCATGCCTCTTTAACTAACCCCTCCCAGTTCTGTCCTGCAAAAGGTGCATGCCCAGTTCTCATGTGCATGACTGGAGTTTAGGCCATGCTTGCCTCTCAGCTCTGGTCATTAGGGCTTCTTCATTGCATGAGACCAGATCACAGCTTCCCTTCCTGGGACTCTCCAAACCAGTGACTGCTGCCCTGGGCTGACTAGCGAGTTTCTATTTAGTCCTCTATGAGATGGGATCATGAATGACTTTCTTCTGTTGGCACACAGGTCTGAGAGCATGCATGGGATAATTGCCAGCGCCATTTCTTCTCATAGATTCCTGACTGGTCCCCAAGTCAGATCTGGGGCTTGATAGGGTCTATAAGCTCCCCGCTGGGCTAGACTGTCTAGTTCCCCAATGGAAACATGTATCCTGGAGACACTCACCAGGCCTTTAATGCACTGGGAATTCACTCACAATTTTCCACCAGACCCTGCTGCATGGGATGCTGTCTGCTGCTTTTTCCCCAATATTCAAATTTTGCCTTTATGTTTAACTCTCATGTTTCTTCTTAGATAAAACTTCACAATGTGAATCTCTATACATCTTTTTGCCATTTCCAAGTAGGTGAGGAATGTTAATAAAGCCTCTTCTATTCTGCCATCTTAGAAAAAATATTTAATATTAAAGTTCATTTTTAAATTATAGATATTAAAAGGGCATTTGGCTTATGAAAAATTATAAAAATATATATCTTTGATAAAAGAAAAATAAATAATGAAATAAAATAAAAAGTAATACTTGATGAAAGAATGACATTTCTATAGATTGAGGTCATTTAGTCAAAAGTGTTTAGATATGTATTATGTTTATTATAGTTTTCAATAGAATATTGTTTTTGGTTATTGTCTCCTGCCATGAAAAACAATGTTCAAAACTGATAATGGCAATATTAGTAGAGGTAGTTGATAACTGATATGTGCAAATGGTTTGGGTAGTATTTTTCGAAAAGGAAAAATGAACTTTTTCTATTAAGGGATAATTTAGAAAATAAATTTGTTAAATTTATCAATGATAAATGAGATGATGGATATGCAAATTATTCAAACTTGATCATTACACATTGTATACATGTATCAAAATATGCTGTACTCTATTAATATGTACAATTATTATGTGGCAATTAAATATAATAAGAAAAGCAAGGTTTATAATATGGGTAATTTACAACTCTCTATTTTAAATATATATGACATAGATTTATACTCAGAGAAATCCAGTATCATAATCTCTTGTGATTTATGCAATGGTGATCCATTGGGAATTAGCTTTCCAAACTTAATTTGCATTTTAATATCATTAGAGAGCTTTTTTTGGTATCCTGTTAAATAATTATTTTCTGGGCATGTTTAATGACATCATAAATATTCTGAACACAAAAAAAGACTCAGAGTAAACTTATTTCAAAATTTGGGAAAATGTTTATAAAGAAACAAATAGAGAATTAGAATTACATTCTATATTAATGTGATTTTTTTCCCCTGGATAAATAAGATTAAAGTGCTTTGAGTTAGAGTGGCAATGGGGCAAGTTTTAGAGTGCTTATCTGAATATTTTTTATCTAAACAAATCATACCATAATTTTAAAAGCCCTTGCTCTTCTTTACTGCTTTAGTCTTAACTAATTATTAGCAGAAAATTTTACTTTCATTACAAATATTTAATAAAGGGTCACACATCTCAAATTATAGAATCGTTATTATTGCCTATTACCATATTATTAGTCTTCAACCATTTGAAGTATGGCCACTGGAAATAAATATGCAACTAAATCATCTCTAGCACAGGCTGATAATTGTTTATAGTGCAGTGTGAGATGATAATATAATGCAAGCAAGAAATTTGTCTTTAAAAATAAATTCAAACTCAGGTGACTGGTAATATATCTGCATATTGACAATTTAATACAAATCAGCAATGGCATGATCTGATGACTGAATAGAATTAGAAATTGACCATATTGTTTAAGAAAATTGACTTTTCATTGTGTAAAATAGAATGAGGATAACGTTTCCCTCTTAAAAATCATCCATTGTCATCTGAGTTCAACTAATGTAGCATATTTTTAAAAAATCAAATCAAAGTAATATTTTTAATTTCTGGAATTCAACATCTGATTAAAAATACTATGTAGATAATTTTTATGAGATACAAAGCATTATAGGCTTTTAATGCTAAGACATTATGCAAATAGAAAATCGGCTTTGCTACTTACAGGTAGCTAACGTGTACACAGTCATGTCATCAGTATGTTACATTTCAAAAACTGATTTCTAGCTGATATGGTTTGGCTGTGCCCCCACCCAAATCTCAACTTGAATTGTATCTCCCAGAATTCCAACGTGTCATTAGAAGGATCCAGGGGGAGGTAATTGAATCATGGGGGCCGGTCTTTCCTGTGCTATTTTAATGATAGTGAATAAATCTAATGAGATCCGATGGGTTTATCAGGGGTTTCTGCTTTTACTTCTTCCTCAATTTTTCTCTTGCTGCTGCTACGTAAGAAGTGCCTTTTGCCTTGTGCCATGATTCTGAGGCCTCCCCAACCATGTGGAACTGTAAGTCCATTTAAACCTCCTTTTCTTCCCAGTGTTGGGTATATCTTTATCAGCAGTGTGAAAACAAACTAATACAGTAAATTGGTACTGGAAGTGGGGTGTTGCTGAAAAGCTACCCAAAAATGTGGAAACGACTTTGCAACTGGGTAACAGGCAGAAGTTGGAACAGTTTGGAGGGCTCAGAAAAAGACAGGTAAATGTGGGAAAGTTTGGAACCTCCTAAAGTCTTATTGAATGGCTTTGACAAAAATGCTGATAGTGATATGAACAATAAGGTCCAGGCTGAGGTGTTCTCAGATAGCAATAAGGAACTTGTTGGGAACTGGAACAAAAGTGTCCCTTGTTATGTTTTAGCAAAGAGATTGGCAGCATTTTGCCCCTGCCCTAGAGATTTGTGGAACTTTGAACTTGAGAGAGTTGATTTAGGCTATCCGGTGGAAGAAATTTCTAAGCAGCAAAGCATTCAAAGGTGACTTGGGTGCTATTAAAAGCATTCCATTTAAAAGGTAAACAGCATAAAACTTCAGAAAATTTGCAGCCTGATGATGCAGTAGAAAAAAACAACAACTCATTTTTTGAGGAGAAATTCAAGCCAGCTGCAGAAATTTGTGTAAGTGGCAAAAAGCCTAATGTTAATCCCCAAGACCATGGGGAAAATGTCTCCAGGCCGTGTCAGAGACCTTCACGGCAGCCCCTCCCATCACAGGCCCAGAGGCCAATGAGGAAAATGTGGTTTCGTGGGCCAGGCCCAGGGTCTCTGTGCTGTGTGCAGCCTAGGGACTTGATGCCCTGTGTCCCAGCCCTCCAGCCATGGCTGAAAGGTGACAACATAGAGCTCAAAATGTGGCTTCAGAGGGTGGAAGCCCCAAGCCTTGGCAGCTTCTATGTGGTATTGAGCCTGTGGGTATACGGAAGTCAAGAATTGAGGTTGGGGGGCCTCTACCTAGATTTCAGAAGATGTAGGGAAACGCCTGGATGACCAGACAAAAGTTTGCTGCATTGGGGGCGCTCATGGAGAACCTCTGCTAGGGCAGTGTGGAAGGGAAATGTGGGGTCGGAGTCCCCACACAGTGTCCCTACTGGGACAATGCCTAGTGGAGCTGTGAGAAGAGGGCCACTGTCCTCCAGGGCACAGAATGGTAGATCCACTAACAGCTTGCACTGTGCACCTGGAAAAGCTGCAGACACTCATACCAGCTTGTGAAAGCAGCCAGGAGGGAGGCTGTACCCTGTAAAGCCAGAGGGGCAGAGCTGCCCAAGACCATGGGAACACATGTTTTGCATCAGCATGATCTGGATGTGAGACCTGGAGTCAAAGGAGGTAATTTTGAAGCTTTAAAATTTGACTGCCCCACTGAATGTTGGGTTTGCTTGCGCCCTGTAACCCCTTTGTTTTGGCCAATTTTTCCCATTTGGAATTATTGTATTTACCCAATACCTGTATCCTCATTGTATCTAGGAAGTAATTAGCTTGCTTTTCATTTTACAGGCCCATAGGTGGAAGGGTCTTGCCTTGTCTCAGGTGAGACTTTGGATCATGGACTTTTGGGTTAATGCTGAAATGAGTTAAGACGTTGGGTGACTGTTGGGAAGGCATGATTGGTTTTGAAATATGAGGACATGAGATTTGGAGGGGCCAGGGGCAGAATGATATGATTTGGCTGTGCCCCCACCCAAATCTCAACTTGGATTGTATCTCCCAGAATTCTCACATGTTGTGGAGGGACATGGGAAGAGGTAATTGAATCATGGGGCCCGGCCTTCCCTGTGCTATTCTTGTGATAGTGAATAAGTCTCACAAGGTCTGATGGGTTTATCAGAGGTTTCCACTTTTGCTTTGTCCTCATTTCTTCTCTTGCCGCCACCACGTAAAAAGTGCCTTTCACCTCCCACCATGATTCCGAGGCCTCCCGAGCCATGTGGAACTGTAAGTCCAATTAAACCTCTTTTGCTTCCCAGTCTCAGGTATGTCTTTATCAACAGTGTGGAAACAAACTAATACACCAGCTTCTTAATTTTTTTCTGGTTCTTTGGTAAGATTTTTCTAAAATACATAGTTCTATGATATGAACATAAGCATTTTGATTAAACATATCAAATAATTGCATGCTATAAAAATTTAAAGTTTTAAAAATGGTGTAAATAGAATTGAAATGCCAGATATTTAGAAGAAATGTTTAGAAAGTTTGGATTCAGGTATTTTTTGTCATATATTCCAGCCAAGCCAAATAAAACTAATAAAAATATTTCCCTAAATGTTTAAACTATTGTGTCATTTAAGGCTGGACTTATTCTCAGGATACAAAATCAATGTGCAAAAATCACAAGCATTCCTATAAACCAACAATAGACAAGCAGAGAGCCAAATCATGAATGAACTCCCATTCACAATTGCCACAAACGGAATAAAATACCTAGGAATACAACTTACAAGGGACGTGAAGGACTTCTTCAAGGAGAACAACAAATCACTACTCAATGAAATAAGAGAGGACACAAACAAATGGAAAAACATTCCATGCTCATGGATAGGAAGAATCAATGTTGTGAAAGTGGCCATACTGCCAGAAGAAATTTATAGATTAAATGCTATTCCCATCAAGCAACCATTGACTTTCTCCACAAAATTAGAAAAAAAACTACTTTAAATTTCATATGGAACCAAAGAAGAACCTGCATAGCCAAGACAATCCTAGGCAAAAAGAATAGAGCTGGAGGCATCATGCTACCTGACTTCAAACTAAACTACAAGTCTACAGTAACCAAAACAACATGGTACTGGTACCAAAATAGATATATACACCAATGGCAAAGAACAGAGACCTCAGAAATAACACCACACATCTACAACCATCTGATCTTCGACAACCCAACGTGTAATGGGGAAAGGATTCCCTATTTAATAAATGGTGCTGGGAAAACAGGCTAGCCGTATGCAGAAAACTGAAACTGGATGCCTTCCTTACACTTTATACAAAAATTAACTCAAGATGAATTAAAGACTTAAGTGTAAAACCCAAAACCATAAAAACCCTGGAAGAAAACCTAGTCAATACCATTCAGGACAAAGGCATGGGCAAAGACTTCATGACTGAAACACCAAAAATAATTGCAACAAAAGCCAAAATTGACAAATGGGATCTAATTAAACTAAAGATCTTCTGCACAGCAAAAGAAACTATTGTCAGAATGAACAGGCAACTTACAGAATGGGAGAAAATTTTTGCAATCTACCCATCTGACAAAGGTCTAATATCCAGAATCTACAAGGAACTTAAACAAATTTATGAGAAAAAAACAAACCCATCAAAAAGTGGGTGAAGGATATGAGTAGAAACTTCTCAAAACAACACATTGAGATACCATCTCATGCCAGTCAGAAAGGCAATTATTAAAAATTCAGGAAACAATAGATGTTGGTGAGGCTGTGGAGAAATATGAACGTTTCTACACTGTTTGTGGGAGTGTAAATTAGTTCAACCATGGTGGAAGACAGTGTGGCGATTCTTGAAAGATCTAGAACCAGAAATACTATTCAACCCAGCAATCTCATTACTGAGTATACACCCAAAGGATTATAAATTATTCTATTATAAAGACACATGCACATGTATGTTTAATGCAGCACTATTTACAATAGCAAAGACATGGAACCAACCCAAATGCCCATCAATGATAGAGTGGATAAAGAAAATGTGGCACATATACACCATGGAATACTATGCAGCCAGAAAAAATGAATGAGATCATGTCCTTTGCAGGGACATGAGTGAAGCTGGAAGCTGTCGTTCTCAGCAAACTAACACAGGAACAGATAACCAAACACCGCATGTTCTCACTCATAAATGGGAACTGAACAATGAGGATACATGGACACAGGGAAGGAAACAACACACACCGGGGCCTGTTGGCAGGTGGGCGGCAAGGGGAGGGAGAGCATTAGGAGAAATACCTAATGCATGTGGGGCTTAAAACCTAGATGATAGGTTCATAGGTGTAGTTAACTACCATGGCACATGTAAACCTGTGTAACCAACCTGCACATTCTGCACGTGTATCCCAGAACTTAAAGTAAAATTAATAATAATAACAATAATAATAATAATAATAATAAAATAAAGTTGGACTTATTTAGAAGAGTATTAACTGTTTTAGATAATGTAGCCATAATAGAGCTTAAAAAGAAGAATTGCCGTGGTGAATATACATATATTGGTGATATTTATATCATTAATATCATTAATAGTATCTTTATCTAATTGTATTTTTTAGTTAATCCATGCCAAATGAAGTCTAACTTTAGTGACATTATATTTGTAATGAATTAAGAGGTAAAATATCAGACCTCAGCAGCACTAATTTTTCCTTCGAGCCTGAAAATACACTGTTTTTACTGCGATTAAAGGAATGAGGCCATGTCTTATGCAAGGTTAGTGGGGCATAGGAGCATGAAAGTGATCAGAAGAGGAAACTTGATGAGGCTGATGAGCTTCATTCCAGTGTTCCTCAGTGATTCTATGCAAGCTGCCACCAACATGATCTACTATAGGTTTGACCCCCTAGTATTTAAAATTTTAATATTTATTGCTGAAATATATATCAAGGTAAGAATGAATGGTCACCTTTTCAGTGCATAAACATAAAAGTTGAAGGACAAAGGAAATAATTAATGAACTAAAAAACAGAAAAATACAAGTTACTCAATTTGAAAGTACATGAAAAAAAAAATGAACAGAGTCTTGGGATCCGAGAGATTATAATAAAAGATGTAATATTTATGTTATCTGAGTTCCAGAAAAAAAAAAAGAGAGAGAGAAGGACAGCAGGTCTGGCCAAAGTTATTTAATGAAGTAATAGCTGAACATATCACCAAACTGGCAAAAGACAAAAACCCAAGTATTTAAGGACATAGAACTCAACAATAACATCCATCAAAAGACGCTAATTGGCATTTATAGAACACTCCACAAAGCAAGAGGGGAATAGATATGATTTTCAAGCATCCCCAGCACATATACCAAGATATACAATACTCTGAGCCACAAAAAAACCTCAAAAATATAAAATAATTGAAATAATACAGACTGCTTTTGACCACAATTCAAACTAGAAGTCAATAGCAAAACATTAAAAGAAAAATTTCTAAACATTTAAAAACCAAAGAACCCACTTATGTCCGGGGATGGTGGCTCACACCTGTAATCCCAGCACTTTGGGAGGCCGAGATGGGTGGATCACCTGACATCAGGAGTTCAAGACCAACCTGTCCAACATGGCAAAACCCGTCTCTACTAAAAATACAAAAATTAACTGGGCATGGTGGCACAGGCCTGCAGTCCCAGCTACTCAGGGGGCTGAGGCAGGAGAATCACTTGAACCTGAGAAGCGGAGGTTGCAGTGAGCCGAGATCATGCCACTGCACTCCAACCTGGTTGACCGAGTGAGATTCCATCTCAAAAAAATTCTCAACGGTAATTTAAAAAAAATTGATTGAACTCAGTGGTTGTCGTGGTGTTGGTGGTTTGTGTTAATGTTGTTTCCTTTTTCTTAGCTGCCCATCCTCCCCTACACCATCTAGTGAATCTGGCAGAACTCACCACACTGTGATTTGAACATCCTGGGAACTCTTCAGAAGCAGGTAACTGCATTATGCCAATAGCTACATTACCAAGGTTGCCATGGCTTCCAACTGGCTTGGGAATAATCTGGCTGTTTGGCTAAGACAACATCATAGAGAATATTTAGAAGAGCACAACTTCCTCCCCATGCTTATAAAATTATCTTGCTAAACTGCTTACTGATGCAGAGTTTAGAAGAAGTAATCCTTTATGTAAATTTATTTTAGAAATTTTTAAGCAAGTATTCTGTTATTGACATTTCAAGCAAGTTTTACTCTTGAAATTGTTTTGTCACGGTATTAAGGAGAACTTAAACATAGATTTTTAAATATATATAACATATAAAATAAATATATGTAAAGTATATATATGTAAAATAACTATGTATATATGTAAAGTATATACACATATATATGTAAAATAGAGTTGTTTTTATCTTTGGATGTTTTAAATGATTGTCATTGAATATCACTGAATGATTTAAAATGATTGAGCATTAACATTTTCTATTTAAAACATCACATGTGTTTAGCATTAAGAACACATTCACTTTGCAAAGTTTAAAGAACTGTAAAATGTTAAACTTATTCTGAAAAAACATTCATAAAAATGCAAATTTCTTGTTAAAATTTTGAAATATACATAGATTTATAATAACTTACAAAATAACATAGCATCAGTTATGTTTTCTATGTATTATAATTTTTTAAATATACAAAGTAATAAGTTCAAAAGATTTGGAGATGCCTCTTTAAGGTCTCCATATCTATAATTATTTCATTAATTGATTTTATCTAGGTTCTATAGTGAGAATTATATTTGATGACTAAATGCTAAATCAAGTTAAATTAAATTAACAAATAATTTGTTTCAAAAACCAAAGGAAATAACAAAAAAAGTAATTTTTGACTATGATGAAACATATACTTTTGAAAACACACAAAATTACACTCATAAGTTCATTATGTATATGTAACAATTTTAATAGCTAGACAAAAAAAGTTTGTTGCTGATTAACTTAAAGGAATTTATTTCTGCAAAATTAAAAGAACACATAAAAGCCACGATATCATATTACTGAAAAGGAAAATAATGAACTGTGTCAGCATATCATAACATTTGTATGTTTGAATATGAATTTATAAATATATATTATAAATATGTACACATCATATAAAATATGATTTCAAATCATAATTTTTCAGTAACTAGAATATTCTAATTATCCAAGAACTGAAACATACTACATAGACAATAATAAAAACACACATTATTTCATATTTCACACCTACATCAATGCTTTCTACAATTATATTAACTGCTTACTGTTTTATTTTTAATTTTTATTGAACTTACTAAAATCATTCTCTCACTTGGGATTCTTTGTCTTTTTTCTCCTATCAAGTAATTTTGTAGCTATATTTTTCGGGCCTACATTCGTGATTTTGCAATCATCCTGTGAAATGTCAACTCCTTTAACTTAATCCAGTTTCTATTCTGGTGAATGTGAACAAGACATTTATGTGCTAAACTTATTCCATAGAGGTAGATTTCCACTTTTTAACCTAAAGGTATTTCCATGATATAGATGTTCTACCCTATTTGTCATCTTCTAGGGAATCAATTGCTTACTTCATAAGTATTTGATGCTTGTTCCTCTAAGAAATAGAGTAATAGATATTGAAGCTATTGATATTGCAAGCACAAATAGGAATGTACATATGACATGTTTTTGAACTGAATTACAAAGTTTTCTTGCATTGGCGATTTTTCTAGAATAATCTCCTTGATTACAAAACAAAGAAAATAAAGCAAAAAAAAAAAACACGTAGATTTGCAGGGAATTCATCAAAAAAGTTATCTGTAGTCAGGGCATTAAACTTATAGATGAAAATTCCATGTTAAATCAGCAGAAAACACTACAAAAAACCCTTGAGAGGTTTTCTTTCTTTCCTTTCTTCCTTCCTTCCTTCCTTTCTTTCCCTTTCTTTCTTTCTTTCTTTCTTTCTTTCTTTCTTTCTTTCTTTCCTTCCTTCCTTCCTTCCTTCCTTCCTTCCTTCCTTCCTTCCTTCCTTCCTTCCTTCTTTCTTTCTTTCTTTCTTTCTTTCTTTCTTTCTTTCTTTCTTTCTTTCTTTCTTTCTTTCTTTCTTTCTTTCTTTCTGTTTATGGTGAAACTACATCTCTACTAAAAATACAAAAAATTAGCCAGGTGTGGTGGCAGGCGCCCATAGTCCCAGCAACTCAGGAGGTTGAGGCAGGAGAATGGCATGAACCTGGGAGGCAGAGCTTGTAGTGAGCCGAGATCACGCCACTGCACTGCAGCCTGGGTGACAGAGCGAGACTCTGTCTCAAAAAAAAAAAAAAAAAAAAAAAAAAGACTGTTAGAGCATTCCAAAGAAGTAACATATAACATTGTCAGCCAAGTTCTAATTTATTCATTCAATTCACTTGTTCATTCAATATTTATTAAGTGTGGGATACTTAGCAGGTACAGAGCATACAAAGAAGAAATAAATGTGTCTCTCTAAGAAATTTATTTTTGCAATAGTATTAAGAAAATTTACATTAATAGCTAAACATTTTAAATACTACAATAGAAAAAAAGTAATGAGGAGACATAATTACAACTGACAGATTATCCACAAAGATACTCAGAATCTGGATCTATTACTTGAATTCTCAAATATGTTCTAACCATTTATTGCAAAGGTGTTTCTTTTACCTATTTGCTCAGTTTAATTACTTAAAAAGAACTTCAGTTGCCTTTGGATTCTTGCAAAAGGTATGTTAAGAATTCCTGTAAATAAGTAATGATTTATATGCAATATTAAAATGTAATTATATACATATAGTAGTAAATAATACATAATAATTTATCAGATATGCCCAATTTAGTTAACACAAGGGTAAAAGGGGGACATGATAAATAATCATTTTGTCATTTATAAATAGCTATCTAGTGAGCTAGGTAGACATAGTGCCTTTTGTTTTTAAGCTTTTCATGTAAGCATTTTTATCAAACAGTATTTCCTATTAAATATTTTAATTATTTTGGAAGCATATTGTGTTCAAGTAACACTTTTATTGATTCTTATCAGCTTCAATAAGAATATTTACTGTTTCTTGAGTTTTAATGTTGCAAGTTAAGTCTCCTTAAATTTAGAGTTAGAAAACACTGGTCACCATTCTAACTTCTTACATCTCATCAAGGAAATGATTACCAAATTTAGCACTTCTCTAAATTTAGGGAAAGATGTATGCAAAGTGAAGTAGAAAGTATAATTATTATCTTTCCCAATCAATAAAGTGAAGAATGACTGTAGTAAATGTTAGGCTATTTCTTAGACACTGAAAAATAGATTAGTTGAAAAATAGATTATTCAACTTCTTCAAATGATGAAACATACATGAACAAATATGATCATACTCATTTATTCATTCATACATTTTACTATTAAATAAAATATTTTGTGGTAAAATATATTGCCACCGTATTTTGAGAATATTCTTTTGTCTTATAATTATCAACATTCTGACATTAAATATAAAAATGATGTTTTTAAATTTAACTTTGTAAAGTGTTAATATTATATAAAATAAACAGATAATTAATATTTATTATGTGCCCACTAATTTCTGAGTATTAAGGTAAATGAATTTACATATGGTATCTGCTTAATTTGGAAAACAACTAATTGTGGTAGGAATTTTTAATGACAGTTTAAGGGTAAAGTGAGATTAGAAATGTTAGTAGTTTCCCATATACACTTTAGCAAACTACACTATATTGAGGAAGTGCAACTGTGGAAATAACTGAAACTATCTGAATATACAAAAAAAAAAATTGGAGCCAAAAGAAACCTAATTTAAAAGTGCAGGATTGCAAGAATTTACTGATGCATTTGGGATAGTCCTCATTTAATTAAGAAAATATTTTAAATTGGAAATGTTATTTACGTGAAAAAGTCTGTATCAGGGGTGCTCAGCCAATGGGGCCCAGGGACCAGTACTGGTCTCTGGCCTGTTAGGAACCAAGTCACATAGCAGGAAGCGAGTAGTAGGCAAGCAAGCATTGCTACCTGAATTTCACCTCCTGTCAGATCAGTGGCAGCATTAGATTGTCATAGGAGCATGAATCCTGTTGTACTGGGCATGCAAGGGATATAGGTTGCGTGCTCCTTAAGAGAATCTAATGCTTAGTGATCTGAGGTGGGACGCTTCCATCCATGGAAACACTGTCTTCCACGAAACCAGTCCCTATTGCCCAAAAGGTTGGTGACCGCTGGGCTATAACATACTGTGATTACCACAGAAGCTTTCTCTTAAAAGTATTTTAAAATTTTAGTTGGAAAGAATTGCCCAGTTGAAGCCTCCTCTTATATTCAAACTGACAGGTGAAAAACAAGATTATGTCTTACTCTTTGGGATTTATAGAATTATATACCTTAATCATTGAACACCATTAAATATTCTTTCACTTTCCCTTGGGAATTATTGTGAGGGAGTCAAATAATATATTTCATTATAGCTATCATTGAAAATCCCATTTTGTGTAATGTTAAAATAAACATCTCTTTATGAATATTTTGCTACTCATTCACCATTGCTGTAACTTGTATTTTGAGTTGTCTTCCCCAGAGTAGACGGAGCTTCATCAAATGCTGGCTTAATCTAATCCTCCTTTAGGCTACCCATCAAGCAAAATGAGAAGTGCTGTCTCTGGTCAAGCATATGTTCTCTGTAACATCAAGTGACTCATGTCAGGAATCAAACGTTCAGCCTTAGCTTCAATATCATGCACCAAGTAACTAAGTCCTCAGAGCAGCAAATTACAATTTCAGGAATTTAATTTGAAACAAATTGTGTGTAATATGAGATTAATTTTTAGAAAACCCAGAAACATGTAAACAACATCTCTCACAGTAAGAATGTTAAAATATCCTATTTTTTTCTAATTATAGTATGCAAATAGAAAATGGTTTACTTGATTTTTATTTTATAAATTCAGGATTTATTTAGTATTACAACCTCTATAAATCTTAAAGCAAAGCAACCTCTTCGTCCAGTGTAAGTTATTTTCTGAATAATCTCCTCAAATAAGCCTTGAGAAAAAAGTTCTGACAACCGCTTTGGCAGGGTGGGAAGAGCAGCGCCCTATAAAAAGTCTCTGCATCATCATTTGTTTTGAGAAAGTCAACACAACAATGGCATCTTTGAAACAGGTGAAGTTATCGTCACAGCATATCTACTTGCTCTATCTTTCTACCTTTTTCTGATATCATTCCCATGAATATATATCATTAGACTATGGTGCTTATTGTAGCCCTGCTGAAAGAGTTCCCCTTAATAACACATCACATAACATAAGAAAAAAAAAATAGTAAGGCCTTCACCTCTCTTCTTACCACTGCTTCTTATAGAATCAGGCAGGCCTTGGTTTTCATTCAGGTTATAACTTTTACTAGCTGTGTGATTTGGAGAAATTGCTTACTCTTTATGACACTTATTTTCTTCACCTGTAAATCCTGAATAATATTTAACTCATCAAATCCCTGTGAGAATGTATTAGCACAGCATCTGTAAAGGACAAATCAAGAATATTTCTCTGTTGTCCATTTTCTTTACTTGCTACATCACTATGTATGCTTCAAGTTTAAGTTATAAATTACCACATGACTGCTTTTTGGCAAAATTACCTAAATCATTTTTAATACTACAAAATTTTGTTTATCATATCACTAGGAAAGCTCAGTGTTCAACTCTGGTTTAACAACTCTTTATTAGTTAATACCTAGTTTGACACTTGATAATGGTACATTAAAGTTTGTCTAGAAATTCTTAAATGCCTTACCTAAAAGTAACACTAAATCTCTGATAATTGGCCAGTTCTTTATAAAGATGCATTAATCTTTTTTTTTTTACAGAAGTTTTATTTCTTCAGAGTTCAGCAACAATATTATTAGTGGATATTCCTCAGAGACATTAAGAACAGTTTTACCTCACCTTTGTCAGCTGGCATGTATACCAAAGTTTAAGCTAAGAGAATTTTTATAGATTCTCCTAGGAGAGAAGATAGGTTTGTGGCCTTCTCAATTATTGTACCCAGTGTTGAAATGCAGAGCAATCTTAAGTGGGTAAAATATAAGATATTAGCATTGAAGAATTAGACAAATCCAAAATTTTAGCTAGTTAGGCCTTTGGTGAAGAAATAGGAAGAAAGAACTAACAAGATGTATCTCCAGCACTGTGCGTATTTCATTATACATATTACCTAATTTTAGAGGATGTAAAATTTGTAAGAGTGGAGAGTTATCTTTAAACAGATGGAGGCTGAAATCAAGAATTCTAGTAAATTGTCTAAGAATTTAGAATGAGAAAAAAGAGCAGATAATTGATAGAAAATATTGAAAAGATAACCCCGGGCTAAGAAATGACATGGCCTACAAATCTATATGACTTAAAATTATATTTCATTAAAATGAATATCTGAAATTCTAATCATTAGTTAACTGTCAGCTCTAGAGAGATATGGCTACCTTTTATCTCTGTATCTTCAGTGTCTGCTATGTATAGTCACCAAAGAAATGTTTACTGAATGAAAATGTATTCAATTACACAAGGATCACTTAACATTTGTTTGTAATATCTTATCTATGGTGCTTTGAGAGGGACAAAAATGAACAAAATATACTCTGTTCTAAATAAACTTACAGAGCTATTTCCCAGGTATTTGACAGAAAAGAGTAATGTAAAAGAAAAACATTTTTCCAAAAGTAATATGTTCTGGCAAAAAGTATTCTGAAGGTGATATAAAAATTTACAAATTCTACTATTACTAAGGTAATAAAAATGACCATCTTAACTGAATTTGTTTCATGCTTTGATATTTTTATGCTTATCATTTATACATTAATCATTATCATTGATTATCATTATCATTTATGCATTAATCATAAGCATATGATTTATTACATTTCCTAAATTAAAATTTCTTTATAATATTTGTCAGTACACATTTATGGAAAAACACTTAACACTTATATGACAATATTTAAATCTTTTCTTATCATATTATTAGTATTTAAATAGCAAGTTACTTTAGAAACATTATTTCTACGGAATGATGTTCTAAGTTTACACCTGTGCATTACATTTCATCAGAATGCAATAATTTTCTTAATAATTAGAAGAAGCCCAGAGTTTCTGAATTTTTAAATCATTAGCAATTGATCACTTCAAATGAGAGCACTGCTATTATGACTAACGATTGAATGGTTAATGTTGGTAATAGATGATATTTTGCAGTGATAGAGAAATGACTATGTATGAGTATTTATCATCTGATTCTCAACAGGATACTGCAAAAAGCCAAGATAATTATATCTTAACTATATATTTCCTTTTAATATGTTTTAATAAAGCTTTGAAGTATAAGAAACAATATTTATTTGTTCTTTAAAATTCAGTTATATAGGTGTACTGTATGGTGAGAATTTTTCATTTTAAAGAAAAATTATCTGTAAAATTCTAATGTGTGAAAGTTTCTGGCCAAGTGTGCTTTGGAAGTAACTGAAATAGGTAATTAGAGGATACCTCACCTCTATCTGTATAGAAACACCCTCAAGGGCTGTTTGTACACTTTCCATCTGTTGAAGCTGTAATCTCAGGATATGGTTTATTTCTTATTGTACAAGAAAATTTGTAATCATAAATTATACACATAAAACTCACAAATGCATATGTAAAACATTGATTCTTCAGTTATGTTCCAAATGTTTTCTTCAATGTTTAGGATATTTAAATACCTTTTACAATTATCATCACTCGATTAGACTGCCCTATCATGTGGGCACATAGCAAACATTACCTTCATGAATGTACTCTGTTTTAAATCTTTTCTTCTTTTTCACTCACCAAAAAATCAGATACATTTTCATATCAGACTATCCTGCCTCAAGTTACTCTTCTTCTTACCAAATAGAGAAATTTCTCTATTAGGAGTTTTTTTGCTGTCTTTAATTTACATATCATAAATATCCCTATCAAATAATAAACAATGGCTCACGCCTGTAATCCCAGCACTTTGGGAGGCCGAGGAGGGCGGATCACAAGGTCAGGAGATTGAGACCATCCTGGCTAACACAGTGAAACCCCGTCTCTACTAAAAAATACAAAAAAAAAAAAAAATTATCCGGGTGTGGTGGCGGGTGCCTGTAGTTCCAGCTACTCAGGAGGCTGAGGCAGGAGAATGGCGTGAACCCGGGAGGCAGAGCTTGCAGTGAGCCGAGATGACACCACTGCACTCCAACCTGGGCAAAAGAGCGAGTCTCAAAATAAATTAAATAAATAAAGAAATAAATATTATAAATAACTATCCATACTTACTTCTTATTCAGTTATGCAACCTCCACATAGCAGGCTGAGAAATACATTATAATGACTAATTAAAATATCCAATTTTTTTTCTTTTAATCTGAATCCTTTTGTTTTATCTAACAAAGGATAAAATACACAATCAATGGATACCCTGCTGGAATATTTCATAAATAGAGTTTTATTATATTTTATAGCTTTTTTTGTTTTTGTTCTCATCAAACAAAAATATTTACTACTATTTACCTAATGTCAAGTTATCTTGTCTTACACCCATTCTAGAAAATATTTCTTCATGTTTTTTTCTTTTATTTACAATGTTTTCTTCAGCAAATTTGGAAAGGTGATAATGTGCTCCATTCCACCCCTACTAATGGCAAATAAGAATACTCAATGAGCTAGTGAAAAAACTTATATTTACAGAAGAAGGGTAAAGATTGAAACAAAAGGGAAGTTAATAAAATAATATGAAAGCTTTACATTTACTGCTGCATTTCACTAATACCAGAGTACTTTTGAGACTTTCTTCATCTTAAGGTTCTAATGGGAAATTAGTCCCAGAATTTGAAGATATTTGCAGCTCATCACCAGACTAATGTGTATTTCTTTTATTAATTAATAAAAAAAATTTTTATCACCAGGAGGTAGTGAATATTTCCAGTCATCTAATCTTTTTTGGTCTTTTTGCACATCTCAGAGAATTATATTTTAAGTGCAGTGGAAAGGATACATTTTCCTGTGTTGTCACTTCTCCAAGAGTTTTCCACTCTGGGAACAGAGGAGACCTTCACAAGTGAGAATACCAAAATAGACTTGAATAGCTTTTAAAACTCTCTTATTATATAATTCTTTAAAATTTTTTCCTAGTAGAACTTCCTTGGACTGTGAATGTGTGGTATGAATGTTTCATAAGGTGCAAGAAAATAATTTTATTGGGAGCTTAAGAAAACACTGTCTCTAGTATATGGCTATAGCATCAACATAGCCACACATGGAATTTTAACTAATAACTTAAGGTTCTTTAGGGTATTAGTATACATGATAATGATAACAATTACTAGCAAGTATTACATGTTCACATGTAATCAGACACTATTTTGATAGATTTTGATTTATAATTCCTCAAAAACGTATATCTGTTACGCATTATTATTATTTGTATATTAAATATGTGAACACTGAATTTTAGAGAAATTGAGAAAATAGTTCAAAGTCACACAATATTATACTGAAAAAAAGAATATACAGACTCTAATTTGTCTCCAATGCCTGATCTCTTAATCGTGGGCTATCTCTGATGGTTTTACTCAAATTTAATCTTATACATTATAAAACCAAGAGTATGCAGACAAGGAAAAACAAATGTTCTTGAGTCAGATTTTGTGCTCATTCTTTCCTTGTTATGATAGAATTCTGTTGAGCTGCATATTGCATGCTATGTCTGACATTAATTTCAAGTAAATAAAGGATGAAACAGGTCACTAATATTAAATGTAGTTGAATTTTCAAAGTTTTTACGTTCAGTATCAATTCTTATACAGTTTTGTTTACTTGTTGAGGCATGTGTATTTTTTCAGATCCAATATTTAGGGTTCAGGGAGCCTAAAGTCCACCTCTGTCAGTTAAAAAAATTGAGTAAATATGAGCACTTTGAGATAAATCTGATACTTTAATATTTTAAATCGGCTTAGCTTAAAAATACTCATGGCTTTTTAACTGCATGCTAAAATTTTACATAGGAATATATTACTATTAAAATATCTGAAACTCCAGTCTTTAAAAAACAGTTACAATGACTTCATATATTTTTTTTCACAAAGTCTACAAATTAAAGCACAGTCAATGGTGTCAGCGAATGTTTACATTGTGTAATTCAGACTGGAAAATTATCTAGAGAACCACAACTGTCAGATTTATTTAATACTAGTAATGTTTTGTGCAATGATTGATAAAAAGCACTATTTGTCTGACACAATGAGGAATAATTTTCCACATTATTACTTATTCCTTTGAACAAGTCAACCTCAAACCCAATGGGATTTGGCAACAATTTACGAAAATAAAAGCATTACCAAGTACATTTTTATTTTCTGAAGGGCAAAGTTATATAACAATATAAATACAGCAAATAGGAAGACGTGAAAACTAGCAAAGACAGATAAATAATACGTAATCATCTCATGTAGTTAAAAATAAGCACTTTAAGAAAATTAGATTCAGCAAAGATAATTAAAGTCAATGTTTGGCAAAATACATAGAAACAAGAAATAATCAAAATATCAACACTCAATGGGTGGAAGATATCTGGAAACATGAATGCCAAAGGTACATGGAATAATGGTACATGAGAGATTAAAAGAAAGAAAGAGAACCATTGTAATAGTGATTGTCAGAAAATGGATAAAAGCTCGCTCCAACAGGAAACTTGATTTTTACCACCTACCTTGTCCAAAAATGAGCCTATTATGGGTAAACTAACCCTGCCTTCCCTGCCACCTGCAACCTGCCTCAATGAGTAAATGATCTCATCAGTCTGGATTTCATGATTTTGAGATGCAACCAAATGGCCTCAGTGGGAGTTTAGCAGAATAATATTCTTCTGTATTCTACTCCGAACCATTAGTATGTTTGCTTATACCTATTTTAGTTTAATTTTTTCCTTTTATCCAGCTTTTTAAAATTGCATTTATTCCATTTTATCTTTCTTTTGCCTTAGATATATGAATGTTCCTGATGTGCTTGGTTTTAATTATGCTTTTGTTACTACCTATCCTATATATTCTTAGATACATCTTACTTTATACTTCGTATTCATTTCACAATAAGAATATATCTCTAAGTTTTTAGGGAAAGTACCTATAGAGAGGATATAAACTGTCATTTATAATTTTATAACTTTTTATTACTGAAAATATCAAACTTGCAAAAAGAAAAAATAATGCAATAAACAGCTCTGGATCAATAATTCAACTTCAAAAATTATCAGTTCATGTTTCATCTTCACCACCCTCACTCCCTATCCCTGCCACTGCTTACATTGAAGCAAATTCTCGACATCATATAATTTTATTTCTAAGTGTTTCAGTATGTATATCAATAAATTTAAAATGCCTTAAAAATATAACCCTAATAATATAGCATCTAAAATTTTGCAGTAGCTCCTTAATTCCTACCTATTTCCAGTAAGTGCTCAGGTTTATCAAATTCTGTTATAAAATTTGAGCAGTTTGCTCAAAATTGCATGAGTACTTTAACACTACCCAATTAGTTGATAAGTCCTTTATTTCTATTTTACATGTTAACCACTTAGGAAATTTATATTATATTTTGTATTAAACAGTAGGAAGCTGAATCAGAATTTAGGTAAAATTATACTATGTGAACACCTTGACTCCAAACTTTGTATTGCATAATTGGACAATTTGAGTTGGTTTTCAAAAGCAAAATCAGGTGGCCTTAGTCACTCCATTGTCACAGTGTGACTACAGACTTGAGGAAGTTCTCCTCAGAGATATATATATATATATATATATATATATATATATATATATATATATATGATACAACTTTCTTAGGCTCCAGTGTTGCTAAAATGATCTGGATTTAGTGACACTATAGAGTAAAATGCTTATCATGTTTATTCTGGATTCTTTAAAATTTATTTTCAGGAATCCTACAGTCATTGAATAGCAGAGCTTCTTCTTCTGTATTTTTTTTTCTTCTCATTTTCTGATTTTTGTTTGTTTGTTTCAGCTAGGAGGACAGTATTGACATGCATTTAACTTCACTAGTTCAGCTGGGGAAGGTTGTATTTTTTATTCTACTCTAAAGTAAGAGGAAATGTCACATTATGGTCATAAAAATATTTATGTTTATAATTCTACCTGAAAGTAAACCAGGTATTTTGTGTTTGAAACTGTTTAATAATTTTACCTTTCTTTTATTTCATTTCATGTCTGAATGAAGGGGTAGAAAAGCTATTGGTAATCTAGGGAAATTAGTTTGGGTATTATGCAACTATTTATTTGGTATAAAATTTTTGGAAAATTTTGCAAGCTTTGAACATCCATTCTATTATTTTTAAAGTGAGTAAAACAATACTTATGCCATAAAATAGTTTTATAAATGTTGTAGCAGTATTTATTATACTTAGTAAACTGTAAACATTATAAAATAATCATTAAGGACGATTATTCTGGGGAATAGAACAAATCTCAAAGGATCCCATGGCCCATGGCCCAGCACTATGTCGCTAAAGAGTTAATTTAATGGAATCCCTAATGTGTGTCTGGTATATTATTGTTTTATATTTTAATATGAGAATATGTATCATGTATGCATAATTTAATTTACAGATAGAAACTGTAATGTAAAAATTTTGAGCCTCAATCTACAGATGAGAAACCAGTCTCACAAGGCTACAGTAACCAAAACAGCATGGTACTGGTACCAAAACAGAGATATAGACCAATGGAACAGAACAGAGTCCTCAGAAATAATAACACACATCTACAACCATCTGATCTTTGACAAACCTGACAAAAACAAGAAATGGGGAAAGGATTCCCTGTTTAATAAATGGTGCTGGGAAAACTGGCTAGCCATATGTAGAAATCTGAAACTGGATCACTTCCTTACACCTTATACAAAAATTAATTCAAGATGGATTAAAGACTTAAATGTTAGACCTAAAACCATAAAAACCCTAGAAGGAAACCTAGGCAATACCATTCAGGACATAGGCATGGGCAAGGACTTCATGTCTAAAACACCAAAAGCAATGGCAACAAAAGCCAAAATTGACAAATGGGATCTCATTAAACTAAAGAGCTTCTTCACAGCAAAAGAAACTACCATCAGAGTGAACAGGCAACCTACAAAATGGGAGAAAATTTTTGCAATCTACTCATCTGACAAAGGGCTAATATCCAGAATCTACAATGAACTCAAACAAATTTACAAGAAAAAGACAAACAACCCCATCAAAAAGTGGGCGAATCATATAAACAGACACTTCTCAAAAGAAGACATTTATGCAGCCAACAGACACATGAAAAAATGCTTATCATCACTGGCCATCAGAGAAATGCAAACCAAAACCACAATGAAATACCATCTCACACCAGTTAGAATGGTGATCATTAAAAAGTCAGGAAACAACAGGTGCTGGAGAGGATGTGGAGAAATAGGAACACTTTTACACTGTTGGTGGGACTGTAAACTAGTTCAACCATTGTGGAAGTCAGTGTGGCGAATCCTCAGGGATCTAGAACTAGAAATACCATTTGACCCAGCCATCCCTTTACTGGGTATATACCCAAAGGATTATAAATCATGCTGCTATAAAGACACATGCACATGTATGTTTATTGCGGCACTATTCACAATAGCAAAGACTTGGAACCAACCCAAATGTCCAACAATGATAGACTGGATTAAGAAAATGTGGCACAAATACACCATGGAATACTATGCAGCCATAAAAAAGGATGAGTTCATGTCCTTTGTAGGGACATGGATGAAGCTGGAAACCATCATTCTCAGCAAACTATCGCAAGGACAAAAAAAAAAAAAAAACAAAAAACAAACACCTCATGTTCTCACTCATAGGTGGGAATTGAACAATGAGAACACATGGACACAGGAAGGGGAACATCACACACCAGGGCCTGCTGTGGGGTGGGAGGAGTGGGGAGGGATAGCATTAGGAGATATACCTAATGTTAAATGACGAGTTACTGGGTGCAGCACACCAACGTGGCACATGTATACATATGTAACTAACCTGCACGTTGTGCACGTGTACCCTAAAACTTAAAGTATAATAATAATAAAAAAAAGAAAAGTTCATTTACTTTCAATCCCTTTTCACACAACAAAGAGGAGTATTCCAAAGAGAAAAATGTAAACTTTTATTTTACTGGCCTATTCATAGGGACTTAATAAAAACTGTTGGAATTTAAAAAATATATTTTGGGATATGAATTGTAGGAGGCAGGGAATGAGGTAATTTTATGGAAATAGAGAATTTACATGACATGAGATTTCTGCTCCAGCTGTAATAGAGTGACTGACACCGAATTCGCCTTCTTGCCTTGGAAAGTCTTCAAAGTGGACAAAAAATATAAGACAATTGTTTTTAGGCACTATGAAACAAGTGAAGAAATTCTGCCATGATGAGAGGATGAAAACTGATAAAGTGAGCATCAGTTGGTCCTGGCACATTTGTGGTTTAGGTGGCTAACGTCCAATCTGAGTGTGGCAATATTATGAAGTGGAGGTGGCACATATCTCAACTCAGAGTAGGTAAATCAGTTGGAATGTAGGGAACATAGAACTGGAGAAGGAACTGCATGGAGCAGAGACCCATAGCTCTGTGTTGAGGTTCACTATGTGCTCTTGATTGAGGACTGCACAGTATATAAGCATGGGTGAGTATAAATAGCTTACAAGAGACTGGTTACTACAGGTTTGAAAGCAGGACAGGAACACTAGAGATCAAGCAATATAGGAAAGAGTGGGAACTCCAGTCTATCCAGAATATAGACATAAAATTAACACATCATTAACACCCCGAGAAACCAGTCAAAACACTAGAAATGTCTTACATTATAATAAGGACACATTAGTAAGTCTTACTTTAGAATCAACTTAACAAATCTTAAAACTGAGAGATCAAGTTTAGAGGTTGAGATGTTTGGGAAGCATCTTGGATATGCCATAACCTAATTTATAAAACCAAGCCTACAAAAGTTCAAGTAGCCATTGAAGTACTTACTAAGAACAAAAATCCATATTTTCGAAAAGAAAATAAAAATTCCTAATCTTACTAACATATAATGAAAAATATCCAGTGCAAAAAAATTACCAAGCAGGCAAAGAAACAGAAAAACGGGATTCATAGCCAAGGAAGAGAAAAAATAATTTATATTCAAATAATTAAAGAATAAAATGGTCATAATGAATACATATTTAGGAACTCTAAGAAGACAGTAAAACAATAAGAAAATAAGTTAAATTCTAGAATTAAAAACTACAATAACTAAAATGAAAACTTCACTGGTTGACTTAATAGTGAATTGAAAATGGCAGAAGAGAGTCAATAACCTTGATAACAAATTAATTAAAAATATGTAATATGAAGAATAGAAAGAAAAAGGCTTGAACAAAAAGATTGACAATGAGAGAAAACATTATTTGAAAATATGAAAAGAAAATTTTTTCAAATTTTATGAAAAACATTGACATGGATGTAAGAAGTTGAGAAAGCCTGAACTTAACAAATTTTAAAAACAATGAAACAACACAGTACAAACACACTCAAAGTAAAAATTCACTCAAAGCTGGATAAATCTAAATGCATGCATGCACACACACACACACACACACACACACACACACACACACATATCTAGGCATATATAAATATAAGGAGAAAATATTGAAAGATCCAGAGAAAAAGAGATAGCACATAAATGAGATCAACAGTAGTGTTTCTTGAAGAGGAAGTAACAAAAAGATCAAAATATAAATCAAAGAAATAGAAAAAAGACAATTGAGAAATTTACGAAAGACAAAAGTTTATTTTTTTAAGGACATTAATAAAATTAATAAACCATCCTAGACTTGGGAAATAAAAAAGAGAGAGACAATACATATATTACAAATATCAGGAACCAACACTGTGTATTACTGCAAATCAATCAGAAATTACATATAATAAGAGAATATTATCAACAACTTCCTGCCAATAAACTTGATAACATGGATGTTAGTTTGAAACAATTCATCAAAAATGACTCAAATAGAAACAGAAAAAATTGAAGAGCTATTTAACTCTTCAATTCCATTTCATTTAATTCAATTAATTGAATTCATAATCAAAATACATCTGGCAAAATAAAATTTTAGGCCCAAATGGTTACATTGATGCATTCTATGAAAATTTTCTGAGGAAGTAATCATACCAATCTTAGATAAACTCTTTCGGTAAAGGGAACATTTTCCAATTTATTTTACATTTGAATAAATACGCTATGCATTCATGAAAATAACTTTCAGAAAACTAGAAATGTAAACTTCCTCAAACTTATAATGGACTTCTGAAAACCTAAAAGTAACTTATAGTTAATAGCCAAAGACTCAATGGTTTCTAAAATTGGCAACAATTCAAAAATGATTGTTCTCACCACTTTTATTCAATAGTGTACTGAATTCCTAGCCAATAATATGGTTATAAAAACAATAGAGGGCATAAAACCTAAAAAGAATGGTGTAAAAATGTCTTTATTTGCAGAGATTATTATTTTTTTGCCTGGAAAAAATATATGGATTCTACAAAAAAAACTACTAAAATTAATGACTTAATACAAAAAGACTTTATGATGTCAATAAAGTAGTAACAAAATGGTGCAAGAATACTTTATAGTAATATTTACTACAGCATCAAAAGTTTCAAAGTATGCTGACAAACAAAGAAAATTTAAAGAAAGAAATGTGGAAAACTACCATGCTAATAGATTGGAAAAAGGTATATCTTTAAGATGTTCTCCAAATTTAGCTATAGAATCACCACAACCCTAATCCAAAAGCCCAGCATATTTTGGTAGTAAGTGATAAGATGATTCTAAAACTGTGTGGAGACTAAAGCAACTCCATCTTGGATGCTAATCTGCCATATACACTTACCATTGACATATGTGCTTACCATAAATCCTACCCTTAAGCAAATCACTTCATACAAAAGTTGTCTTACGAATTCCTTCAAAAGCACTCACTCCCTTTACTTATGACCTATAATCGCTGAGTCTGGAGGACAATGGTGAGGGGGATCTGCCATCTCATCTAGTGGCTGCCCAAGATATGGATTTTGTTTGTAATTTCCTGTTAAAATGTTTCTGATAAACTAGATTTGTCAGTCTCTTCATTGGCCTCTCACTTTCCTCAGCCTTTGGGGATAGGTTTGCATAAACCTGCTCACCTTGGAACAAACTTACATAGTAATGCAAATGATCTTGAAAAGAGAGAGAAAGAGAGAGAAGAAATAAATTAACTCGAAGAGCATAAACTACTGGATTTCAAGACTATTAATCAAGGAAATAGGCATCTAAAAAATGACAAATAAATCAATGGAAATGTATAGAGCCCAGAAATAGAAAATACACACATACCTACAATATTATTTAATTTTTCTAAGACAGTACAGTAATTAATTAGAGAAATTTTTTTTTCACCAAACTGAATATCAATATTAAACATATTGTCCCTACCTCATGTCACATACCAATAGTTGTTTATAAATATAAATGTCAAATCTAGAGTTCTAAAATTTCTAAAAAAAACCACATGGAATGTCTTCAAGATTATCTTCACAAGACAGCAAGTATTTTTGTACAGTGCACATACACATACACAAAATACACTCATTTATAAAAGGTAATACTGATGAATTGGACTTAATGCAAATGAAAAGTTTTGTTCTCCAAAATATAACAGGAAGACAATGAAACAACACACAGCTAGAAAAACATATTTGCAATAAAAATATTGATCAAATACTTTTATCACAAATATAAAAAGAACTCCTATATTCTGTTTTCTCCTCAGATCATTTAAGTTTTCATCATTTATGAAAGAGCTCTAAAAACTCAATATTAAGAGAACAAACAACCCAATAAAACCAGTGGAAACCTATAACAGATATCTCACAACAGTTAAGTAGAAATAACCGAACACATTTGAAAACTATATCAACATTATTCATCACCAAGGTAATAGAAAATAAAACAATGGAATACATTCAGCAATAAAACCAACAAACTACTTATACGGACAGCATAAGTGTTTTCAAAAACTTTATGCAGAACAGTTTCCATGATGGAAACAAAATGCACATACTGTATAATGCATAGAATTCTGGCAGCAGCAAAAATTAATCTATAGTGCTGGAAATCAGATCAGTGCTTGCCTGGAATGGAGTTGAAGTAAAATTTGACAGCAAAAGTTTGCAAGGAAACTTCATGGGATGAAGGAAAATTTCTCTACCTTGATATACATCTGAGTTAACATTGGTCAAAACTTGAACCCTATATGCAAGTATTATGTTCACTTAATATGTAAATCATACATCCAATACATTGGAAAAATTTTAGGAACAATTTGAGAAGAGATGTGAGAATCAGGATTAATATGCTGTAGTACTTTGATTTTTAACATAGGCATTCACTTTAAAATTTTCAATTAATATCCTCAGCAAGACAGACAATAAAACTGTAATCCAAAGATGCTGTCTGAAGACATTCATCTATTACCAGAATATGTCAAAATTATTTTCCTTAAAGAGGTAATCAGATGAAATAAATTATGTTTACAATGTGTAAGTTGCATTGTGTACAAATTGTTTTATATCATCTAGTAATGACTAGCCTAGTATAAAAATAGACTGTTTTTCTACGTAGTTATTTTATACTTGTGTCTGTTTTCAGGTTGAGTGATGAAAAAAATGCTATTTGGAAATGTGAATTTCTGTAGGGGCAGGGGAGATGTTTGATTATGAAAGTGACAGCTGAATAAATCGGCTAAGTTGAAGGTGAAGTGTGTTTGGTAGGTAAATATATTGAGGAATCTCAATTCCTGACATGATTATTTTGGGTATGGAAAGTGGCATGTATATTTCAAAACTAAGATCATACTATATTTCATATATATCCCACGCTGTTGAACTATGAAACTGCAATCTACTACCAAACAATGGGAGTACATGCAGTAGTATTATCTTGGTTTAATTAATAAGCAACATCAAGCCCAATTTCTCCAGCTTACGGATTATGTCCGAAGGGTGAAAATCAAGGAATTGGAAAGAGTCAACTTTCTATGTGCCCAAATTCTGCTAAACACTTCCACAATGAAACTATAACTTATTTCTAGTCTGAACAATTCTAGTGACCATGGCTTGGGACCTTGACAAAGTCAGACCACTTTGTCATGTTATTCACTTCCAAATCCAGAAATTTAGCACTATGCCTGATTAACTTTCTTACAAAACATGGGCCGAAGCCATCAAAAGTTAATGAGATATATTTATTAGAATGATAAATGTTTATTTTTTTTATTATACTTTAAGTTCTGGGGTACATGTGCAGAACGTGCAG
Source organism: Homo sapiens (assembly GCF_000001405.40). Classification (NCBI taxonomy): domain Eukaryota; kingdom Metazoa; phylum Chordata; class Mammalia; order Primates; family Hominidae; genus Homo; species Homo sapiens. Next base: position 192,984,080 of record NC_000002.12, on the reverse strand, counting down.
TTTTGTTACATAGGTATACACGTGCCATGGTGGTTTGCTGCACCGATCAGCCCGTCCTCTACATTAGGTATTTCTCCTAACGCTATGCCTCCCCAAGCCCCCATCCCCCAACAGTGTGTGTGATGTTTCCCTCCCTGTGTGCATGTATTCTCATTGTTCATCTGCCTCTTATGAGTGAGAACATGCGGTGTTTGGTTTTCTGTTCTAGTGTTAGTTCGCTGAGGATGATGTAAGTTTTTAATAAGAAACAAGCAGTATTATCATTCAGATCCTGGATCCTTAAAGCCTGTTTCCTTTTTACTAAGCCAAAAGAGACATACTCTTTAAAGTTCCCAAGAAAAGTAACTTATTTCAAAGAAGGTACTTAGTCTTTAAAGAATAGCGATAATTAGGGTACTTTTCTTAGTATGTATATTGATGGACAGTGTTCCTGGAGGCAAAAATACCACAGGTATTAATGATTCAAGATTGTGGGGAGAAACAAAGAAACGAATCAATTTTTCCTGGTCAATCATGTGTAAAGAGGAGTGTTATTAATATTGCAATTCTATGAAGGGCTATCTTTAGAGCATTTTTATAGCACCAAGATTTCAGACACACCTCTAGTCATAACAGTTAGAAATAAATGAGCCATAGTTGATCACAGAGCTCATTCAATGCTGTATTCACTTCAGTTTTCCTGGGAGCAGATGTAGGAATGATCTTAACCAGAAGGCCAGAAGAATACTCCATTTCAGAATTCATGACAGTTATTATAATTTCAAAGAAAGAAACAAAACAGATACCAATAACAGATGGTCTGAAAGTTACTGTGCACATTTTATGTACAATTGCACTAAACAACAGGGTATAATTTAAATGACAAAGAGAAGAAAAATAGAATATTATAGCTAGGGATCAAATAGATTTAATGAATTTCTTACTGAGAAGCTCCATTTACTTGACTACAAGACTGCAAATGTGAGTGTGGTACATTCTAAATTATTTGGTAATTTTTGATGTTATATTTAATTTTGTAAAAAATTTTGTTACCCCTCAAATCACCAATTTTATCGTGTATTACATAGCTTTTATTATATTTTGTTCATTTTGTCACTATTTTAAACATCAATTCCAAGTTTTTACATAGCAAATTGCATTTCAAAAGACATTTTTAAAAACTTAATTTTTCTCAATTCAGAATCACAATTACACATTTGACTATTGAATTTAAGCAATCTGCATATAGTTAAAAGAATGTAATTTAGGTCCAGTGCAATTGACATTTATATAGCTGGCAATTCTTCAATAAAGATTTTTCTCAAAATACTGATGTTCCTCATCCTTATTGAATCAAACTAGAAATCTGTATTTTTCTTAGCCTTTAATTACCTTATGACTGTCAAAACAACTAAAGACTTCTCTTTATAAGTACGAACCTCTTTGTTCCTAGGAAAAGTTATTGACTTAGCCATACAACATAATCAGAAATGTCATTGATAGATTTCTTGTTAAACATGAATGAGCAACTTTATTTTTATATTTAAAAAAGTGTAAACGAGAATGAGGAGGTTAGGGAAAAATGTGAGCTAAGAATCTGATATGAACTATTGGGTTAGACTGCCAGAAATAGGTAAGAGGTTGTGGTGAATAGATTAGCATCCCTACTGAGGAAAAAGCACCTAAAATTCTTCAGAGAACAATAAAAATTTTTAAATATGTTTAGTTAGAAGTTAAAATTAGAAGTTAAATTTTTTTAACTTCTGCATTTTCTATAAATCTTATCTATCTTCTTTCTACCCATCTATAACCTATCTATCTTTTAATCCATCCAGATACTTTTTTTTTCAGTCTGGTCACCTGAATTTATCCAATGCATGATGGTCCACACAAAGTTCAGAGATTGGTAAATGTTTCTAGAATTAAACTTTTATGAATAGTAGCTTAATTTCTCTCTCTCTGGATGTAAATTGAATTAAGTAAACTGTCAAATGTCTACCCTTTTATTTAGATGTTATATGTACATTACAATAAATATGAGAATATACACAACACATATATATATTTGACGTTTTTGTCATAAAATACTCTGCATATTGAATTAATTGCTAAAACATTTTCTTGACCATCTTATGTATTAAACTAAACCTTGGTAATCAATTCTGCAAAATGTTATGGTATATAGAAGATTATATATAAGATTGTAAAGAAACCGTAGTGGGCAGGGTGCTGTATCTCACATCTGTAATCCCAGCACTTTGAGAGGCCGAGGTGGGTGGATCACAAGGTCAAGAGATCGAGACCATCCTGGCCAACATAGTGAAGCCCTGTCTCTACTAAAAATACAAAACTTAGCTGGGCATGGTGGCACATGCCTGTAATCCCAGCTACTAGGGAGGCTGAGGCAGGAGAATTGCTTGAACCCAGGAGGCAGAGATTGTAGTAAGCCGAGATCGTGCCACTGCACTCCAGACTGGCAACAGAGCAAGACTCCATCTCAAAAAGAAAGAAAGAAAGAAAGAAAGAAGTCTAAGTGAGTTATAGCTTTTAAAAAGTATGAAATATTCTTGTCTAATTTTTATCATTTTTAATGTGGTAAATTTTATAATATAAAAAGTTTAGAGCTGATTTTATCTTATCTGATTACATTTAATCATATTTTTCTTTATATTTATATTTTATTTCTGTAGCAACTCACTGTTTTGAATGCCTCAGTCCATTTATGACTTTAATTTTGAATAAGATATAAGAAGAATATCAATTGAATTAAAGGACGTGCTGCAAGTAGTTGTCAGAAAAAAATGAGATAGATCAATGATTAAACATGTGATTTTTAAAAATAACCCCGAAAGATTGTGAAAAGTAAGTTAGTTGTTTTCACTGGATTTTTTTTTTTTTTTTTTTTTTTTTGAGACAGAGTTTCGCTCTTGTTGCCCAGGCTGGAGTGCAACAGCACGATCTCGGCTCACTGTAACCTCTACTACCTGGGTTGAAGTGATTCTCCTGCCTTAGCCTCCCTAGTAGCTGGGATTACAGGCATGTGCCACCACGTCCGGCTAATTTTATACTTTTAGTAGAGATGGGGTTTCACCATGTTGGTCTGGCTGGCCTCGAACTCCTGACCTCAGGTGATCCCCCCACCTTGTCCTCCCAAAGTGCTGGGATTACAGGCATGAGCCACCGCGCCTGGCCTGGATTCTTAATATACAGACACTCAAAGTAATAGGAGAGTAATTAATATATTTATTTATTGCAGATGTAGTTCTCACAACTTTTCTTTCTCATAGTAGAATTGTTCTATTTGGTCCATTTTCTTTCCAATTAAGTACTTACTGGCATGCAAGCTGTAGCTTTCTTCTTGATGGAAGAACACACTTTTTAATTATACATGAAAACAATTTAATTCCCTGATGGCTATGTACGAGCAGCCTCTGAACTAACATCTTAATTTTTTTCTTAATAGGAAACAGCTAATATCTAGCTGTTCAATGACTTTTGATTAACAAGGCCACATTGCCATTATCTAACTTAGAAGAAATACAATAATTAAAATGGACTTCAAAAATTCTAAGAATTTTCTTTTAGCTGAAAAGTATTTTTCACTATGGAAAAAGGTTTCTTTCTCATTTTCTTGCATGATGTTCTTTTAACTCCATATTGCTTTTTTCTGAAGGTAGAATTGCCTTTCCTGTCTCTCTTTCAGTGAATATCTAGGTTTGAGATAGTAGCTCACTAGATGTTGGCCGACTCTGACTGTGTAAGCATTACCCAAATGAAGTCCCTGCTGACAAAAGGTAAAGACAAAACAGGTGAATGTCAGTAGATGCTGGCCAAGTTGGCTTTCCAGCCTCTAAGGCAATATTTCCCAGTCATTCAGGACACTGAAATTACACTCTGCTGGAATCTCATCTCCACTTATCTATCCCTTGAACAATAAAATGTGAAGAAGTCATGCCTATAGTTTCTGTGTTTATAGATTATTAATTCTCATAGACTACTGTCTTCTGGTTGCTAAAATAAATAATTTGATAGAACATTCAGAGATGTCTTAGGATTTTCCTTTATATATACATACAAAATCAAACAATAGCCAGATCAGATGTTTTGATATGAAACTACTCACCTGTCTTGTAGTCCAGGAGGATTTATATTGGGGTTAATTTTGTTGATCTTTGTAATTGTTTTCCTATACTTTACAAGGTTAGTGCCATGGCCTGATAGTTCTTACAGTACCATCTGCCTCTGTCACCTGTGTAATTGCTACATTTCCCACAGCCCAGTTACACACAGTATAACAAAAAATCTTTGACTCTATATTATCTGGATTTGGAGATAGAACTTTATGTCCTAGCATATCCTAAGTTTACATGAGTGCATAAATTCTAAGTAAAGAAGATACCACCAAAGGGGATGAATTGGCTTTTAGGAGTAGAAATAATTTTAGCTTTTTTATTTAGAAGGTGCAGATATGCATACAGTACATATACACATATGCAATATAGGATTAAAATTTCTGGGGTGGTTGATTAGGTTAAAAATCTCAAAATTTTCCTGACACAGTGATAATGAAAAAAATAGTTTGGGAAACACTGGATTAGAGTGAGCACCACTCATTGCAGAATATTGCTTTTTATGTCCTCCCACATTGACAGGGTCAGGAGCTTTTTAGTCATGTAGAACGTGTTTACAGTCACATATTTACTGCTATGTGGCTCCAAAAGATTATCACCATTTTGTAACTGGTGGCTTCACTTTTAAACATTATCAAAATTGCATTTAATTCAATTATTCATCTTAGATTTAAGAATGACGCATGCCCAATTGTAATTTAATTAATAAGATGTATTTGAGTTATTAACTGAGTTCTTCTAAGTCATCAAATTGATTATTTGTTCATAAAGGCTAGGATAGTGGAAAGAAATCACAAATAAAAACATTATAGAATATCAGGCCAGAGGTCTGGGAGAGGCAAGATAGAGAGGTGAAAAGAACTATGAGAAGTCTGGAAGTTTGGAGACAAAATAAAGAAAATGATTTGGTCATTTATGAATTCAAAAAGAGAATTTCATGGGGCTAAGACAAAAATCTTCTTACTATAAAATACTATTAGGAATCAAAAATATAAAATAAGTCCTTAAAATATACCTAACCCAACAATTATTTGCATCAACATCATTGGTCCAAGGGGTAGATTTATTCTTATATTAAAAATTCTTGGCCAGAACAGCCCAAAAGAGTTTTGGCACTGAACTATAAACCTTCAGTTTATCTAAATTGGGAATGTTGCAGGAACTTTTGATTTCATATTGCGTTCCTTTCTGAAGATAGTTGAGAAGCACAAGGGACAGCAAATACTAGCGATGCTAAGGCAGATGCTTAGGCAGCTGTGTGCAGTAAAGAACTGACAAGTCCCAGGTGGGGCATAGCACCATGGATCATGAGGCAATCATTCTTTTTGCAATAAATTGGTCTTGTGCTGGGTTGATCTTAAATTACTCCAGTGGGAAAAGAAGTCTTATATGGTGAGGGGAAAGTCCATGTGATAATATCTATAGCACAGCCTGAGACTCATTTTTGACATATAATTTATTTCTTCCTGACATGATGATGATTGGATGATTGCCAGAGACCAGGCAACATGTGTATTCAATGTAGAAAAGACAGCTGCTAGGATATCCATTTTCATCGTCTCTCTAGAACCAAAAAGAAATAATCAGCCATCATTTTTTTTATGCAGAGGACAGAAACATATGTATAATTTCAGAAAAAAAAAATCAACGAGACTTTGAAGGCCCTAACAATTTGTGTTCTCTGTTGCTTCCTTTTCTCTGCTATTGCTCCTGCTAAATATTCCCTAGACTGTGGTTATGAAAGCTTTACACAGTTTTCTAACTCCTTTCCTTCCCTACTCCAATTTATTCTGCAAAGAGTTTTCACATTATACTTCCCAAATCCCAATCCTACTCAAAAAATTGTAGTGCCTCCTGTTTCATATGGCGTTAAAGAATTAAAGATCTTTGTTTTTGTTTGTTTTTTGAGACAGAATCTTGTTCCGTTGCCCAGGGTGGAGTGCAGTGGTGCAATCTTGGCTCGCTGCAACCTCAGCCTCCTGGATTCAAACAATTCTTGTGCCTCAGCCTCCTGAGTAGCTGGGATTACATGAGCATACCACCATGCCTGGATAATTTTTATATTTTCTAGTAGAGACGGGATTTCACCCTGTCGGCCACACTGGTCTCGAACTCCTGACCTCAGGTGATCCGCCCACCTCAGCCTCCCAAAGTGCTGGGATTACAGGCATGAGCCACCGCACCCAGCCTAAAGATCTTCACTGATACCCTCCTCAGTATGGCTTGTGTCTATCTGTCTAGCTTTATCTGGCAGCTCTTCCTTGTACAACACTTTGCTCAAAATAAATAATTTAATGTTTTCTGAACATATTATAGCTATTGCTACTTCCATACATCTGTTCATATCCATTTCTCTGCCTTCTTAAATGTATTTTTTATACAGGCTTTTTTTCTGAGCTACCACCCTGAGTCCCACACCATCAGCCAGAAGCTGTTCTTTATTCAACATATGTAAAATGCATGACATACAGCAAATAATTCATTGTTTTAAATTCAATTTATTTTAAGACTTGCCTAACTCTTATTTTTATTTTTATTTATGTATTTATTTACTTGCAAAATTTTAAGCATTTTAGAGTAAAAGTTACCGTGTTCTTGTTACACTACATTCTTCATCACCTAGCAAGGAATCTAGTATATAGGGAGAGTGATAGATATTTGGTAAGTGGAATTTAATTGCCAATATGTTATTGAATAAATTAATAAGGGATATATGCTATCTTTCACCTGCAATGCCCCTGCTCTGCATTGGGGATAGCAAAGAAGTGACACCAGAGGTCAGTTAGATGTTGATAAACTCTAGGACTACTTGATGATCTAGAAAAAGAAAAAATATAACTGTTAGGAAATAGTATTTTCTTCGTGAGCTCTTTGGTAGTTTTTAGATAGTCTCTTGTGACATGATCCTATCGAACACCAGTGTGCACAATTATATTTCACATCAAATAGCTAGCATGTTACAATATTCAAAGCCTCCAACTCTATGCTGAAATATTAAATTTGGGTGATGGCACAAAACTAATTGTAACTGCACAATTTATTCACTTAACTAGTTATTGAGGCAATGTCAATCCAAGCACCCTGCTGAAAATCAGTGTGGTAATGACAAATAAGTGACCTGGCCCCTTGGGATCTCACAATCTAGGAAACAGAGGCAGGGTTTATATCTGAGTAAATGCAATACACTGAAGTCGGGTCAAATGGAGGACCATCCTGAAGAGTTAGTAAGAAAAAGCATCTTCTGCTTTAGGGGATCCCAGAAATGCAGATCAAAGGAGAAAACTGAAGAGGTCCTTGAAGAAATAACAAACTGTTAAGCAGTTTATGCAGTAAAGAGGTTTCAGTCAGAAATGTTAGAATATAAAAACGTATAATTATGTCACTGATCCAGTAAATGTCTCTGAATTTAAAAGAAAATTGAATCAAACTAATTTTAAAGTAAAAGTATTTATTATGTCACTTGGGAATCCAGAGGTATGGCAGGCCTCACATTTCTTAATTCAGCAGCTCAAATATATTATTACTGTGATGGCTAATTTTATGTGTCAGCTTGACTTGGGTAAAGAATACCTAGATAGCAGAAATATTATTTCTGGGTGCATCTGAGGTTGTTTCTGGAAGAGATTAGAATTTGAGTCAAAGACTGAGTAGGGAAGATCTGCCCTCATCACTGTGGGCCAGCACCATTCAATCCATCTAGGGCTGGAATATAACAAAAAGGAGGAAAAGGATGAATTTTCTTTTTCTTCTTTAGTTGGAACAGTCATCTTTTGCCCTTATACATCAAAGGTCTTGGTTCTTGAGGCTTTGGACTCCAGAACTTAAACCATCTGCCCCCAGTTCTCAGGCCTTTGGCCTTGGACTGAATTATACCACTGGCTTTCCTGGTTCTCCAGCTTCCAAATGGCATATCATAGGACTTCTCTGCCATAATCTATAATCACATAAGACTGTTACAATAGTAATTATCCTCTTAGTTATCTAGATCTATATATCCTGTTGGTTCTGTTTCTCTTAAGAACCATGACTAAAGCAATAAGGAAGTTTCTATTGCTCTGCTTTTCTACAATCATGATGCTTTCAAACTAATACTATGTGTTTATACGATATTCATCAGAAACATTCACTGACCTTTTTTTCAATTTATATTAAGTATAAGCTCTATTTTCTTATGATTGCTTCCCTCCCCCCGCCCCTCTTAGGTTGATCTTGGACTCTGCCTTCACTGTATGATTTTTTTTTTTTTTACCCTTTTGTTCACTTGCCCCTATAAACAACAGTGCTGAGGCCTCTGCAACCTACTGACCCAGTGGCTTAGGGGGTAGGTGGGTGTGAGTACCAGAGAGAGTCAAAGAAAGTAAAAAAGCGTCCTGACATTCCACCAGTCTTGACACTCATGACTGCACCAGTGTGCTGCTCACAACATCGTTGATCTGCATCTTCCTAGCACATGCTTTTGAAGGTGAAGGTACAGCCTGTACCAAACATACCATTGTTCCTAGAATATTATGGTATAATTTATCTTTGTTGTTAATCACTCATCACTTGAAATACAGGGAATTTTTTCCTCATGATACACAGACTTCTATTTATTATTTCTCCTTTTTCATTTTAAATTTCTGAGCTGATAAAGTGGTAATTTAGAAAAAAAACATTCTTTCAATTCATTTTCTACTTTATTTCTATCTGTTTTATTTCCCAGCTTCAACATGAAAATTCATTTATTATTTGTCTTTTTAACAAGTTCTGGTTTATATTTTTGATATGTTACTAACACATCAACATTTTAAAAATGCACATATATATGCATCATTTAAAATTGAATTATCAATTTATTTTCTGCTCAGGGATGGTATACATTATTCAGGAAACACTGTTCATCATTCAAGATATTTCTAATCTTTATTTCTTTTTTTTTTTTTTTTTGAGACGGAGTCTCGCTCTGTCGCCCTGGCTGGAGTGCAGTGGCGCGATCTCGGCTCACTGCAAGCTCCGCCTCCCGGGTTCACGCCATTCTCCTGCCTCAGCCTCCCGAGTAGCTGGGACTACAGGCGCCCGCTACCACGCCCGGCTAATTTTTTGTATTTTTAGTAGAGACGGGGTTTCACCGTGTTAGCCAGGATGGTCTCGATCTCCTGACCTCGTGATCCGCCCGCCTCGGCCTCCCAAAGTGCTGGGATTACAGGCGTGAGCCACCGCGCCCGGCCTAATCTTTATTTCTTTTCTCAGCCAATTGACCTTTGTCTTTGAGGTACTTACCTCCTTGTACTATGTTCGAGATTGTAGTCGTAAAATTAACATCCTTTACATAAATTAGTTAAGATAGGAATTTTGACTTAAAAATGAAATAGAAGCATAGAGCTACTTGGAATATAAGAATTCTTGTTGTATTAGTCTGTTTACACACTGCTATAAAGAACTACTTAATACTAGGTAATTTATGAATAAAAGAGGCTTAATTGACTCACAGTGTCACAGACTGTGCAGGAGCATGTCTGGAAGGCCTCAGGAAACTTATAATTGTGGCAGAAGGGGAAAGGGAAGCAAACACCTTCTTCTCATGGCGGCAGGAGAGAGAGAGCTAAGGGGGAAGTGCCACACACTTAAACTATCAGATCTCATGAGAACTCATCCACTATCACGAGAACAGCAGGGGAAAATCTGCCCCCATGATCCAGTCACCTCCCACCAGGCCCCTCCTCCAATTTGACATGAGATTTGGGCAAGGACACAAATCCAAACCATATCACTTGTCCATCAGTTTTGCCCAATAAAATGCATATTGGAAGACACTCAATATGAATTGTTGACCTGGATACTAATAAAAGAAAAACTTCAGCTGAATTAAATTTAAAGGAGTTCAATTGAGCAATGAATGATCCACGAATCAGGCAGCACCCAGAATCACAGCGGGTTCACTGAGACTCCAGGGGTGCCTCATGGTCAGAACAAATTTATAGACTAAAAAGGTAAAGTGACATACAGGAATTGAAAGTGAGGTACAGAAACAGCGAGATTGGTTACAGCTCGGCATTTGCCCTATTTGAACACAGTTTGAACATTCAGCAGTCTATGAGTGGTCGACATATGGCTGCTAGGATTGGCCAACACTCAGCTATTGTTACAGGCGTATACTATTAAGTTAGGTTTTCAATTTTGTCTGACTATTAAGCTATGTTACAGTTCATCCACAGGGACTCAGATATAGATGTACAGGAGTCCTTTTCAGGATATAATTTAGTTTGCTTTAACAATACCTAAAACATTAAAATAAAATCACTACGCATGATTACAACAAAATGCAAATCAATGATAATGCCAATATAATTATGAGCAGTTTATACTTATACTGTTATACAAGAGAGTGAAAATGCTTGTTGATGTAGCATAAATAGATAGTGGTTTCCCAAACGCATGTGAGTATGAGGACATTCTGGGCTAGGCTCCCATGTAAGTATTCAACAACATATACCCCTTGCTAGCACAATGCCGGTCCAAATCTGTTTCCATTTACTTCACAACTGGCAGCATACTGAAAGGGAGAAGTCCCAAGCCAGATTGCAAGACCCTTGTGAAACTTTGTTAAATATCCTCTCTACTTGTCAGAGTTGTTATCTTTGTGATAAAGTCGTAGCACATACAAATTCTACAATTCTTTTAGCTCTAAGACTCTTGGAATCTGTTTAAATTTTATCTGAGATATATCCAAAAGGTTCAAACTCATTTTGTCCTGGTGAAGGGAGAAAAAAATAATTTTCATTGTAGCACTCAAAATATCTTATCCACCTAGTTACAATAGTGTCAGAAATGCCACCATTGCAATACAGTACTTAGAGTTTGGATGTTAAGTTGGCTCTTAAAATACAAATTCCACCAAGAAATAATTTTAGCCTGTCATCTTTGATTTTAATATTATCAGGTTTTCTGACTTCCTTCAGTTTAGATGTCTAAATTCCAGGGACCATGACCATCATAACAACTAGAAGAAACACCATGAGAAAGGGCAGGTGGAGAAGAAAAAGAGAGAGAAAGATTAATTTTGATTGGAATGATAAAGTAATTAGGTAATATGCCAGTCTCGTTAATAGTTAAGAGTATTTAATATTAATTAACATTTAAATTTAATTCTAATATACCTGCTTGAAGTAGGTAAACATGGCATGAAAAAAATATATATAAATTATATAATTGTAGGGAATGCAGCCATAGCATATTTGTAAAATTTTAATGTTTCTCATACCTGAGGTCCTTGAGCGGGCAAATCAGCAAACTGAGGTCACTGGGAGAGCATACAAAACTGAGAGAAGGATGCTTGAGGGACAGGGGAGATTCTCCAAAACAACACAAAACAAAAAACCCCACCAACTTTCTGTTACTTTTGCCTATAGATAGCTCTGATAATCTAGATATTCCTGACTAAAACTAAAACAAACAAAAAACCAAGTTCAGAAAGAATGAATATTCATGTAATATACATTCTTTCCTCCTTTACCAGAGTTAGTTGAGACTCATGCAGTCAATTAGGATATTTTGTGTTTGAGTGAAAGAAAGATAAGTATAAATCAAGAGGGTGAAAATGCAAATTTTGTGAAGTAGGTAGAACTGCACTTAAACATAAACAGAAGCAATGACATATATACTATCACTCCCTTGCTTTCATTCCAAATACTCTCAAAATTGTTCAGCATCATTCTCTCTGACCACCTTCTCCAAAGACTGGAGCCCTGGAAATGGACATCTTCAGTCTTACCTCATGACACTTCTGTAAGCAGAAATACATCACTGATTAACTGGCTTGAATCACGAGCATATCCCTGGAGTAATGACTGTAGTGATGGGGATGTAACACTATGATTGGCATCATTGTTCATTGTCGTGGCTAGAGAATGGAGTTCTATGCTTCCCACCATGATCTACATTCTATATACAAATAAAGATACGTCTCAAAAAAGTATTTGAGGAAGACAAACTAAGAAATAGGAAGATAACAAATAGAAAGACTTCATTCTAAGGCTTCAACAGTAATGAGAAATTCAAATTACTACCAAGTCACTAACCCCTAACCTAATAAGTTACTATCACAAAATTTAAATCTTGTTCTAGACATCCTAATTAATGCCTGAATCTAAAATAATCATGCATTAATATTTCAAATCATCAAAAGACATCTGTTTCTGTTAACTATTTTTCAGCAATTATCTTGTTACATTTTTCATGTTGATTGCTACCTTATTTTAAACATTTTTTTAATTTAATTTTTTGGCATTGTTCTTCCCATCATATGTTTGCTCTCTTATTCTAACTAAATTTAAAAAGTCCTGGCCAAGAATCAGATGATCTTAACTCTGATCACGGCTTTGTGATTTAAACAAGCAGTTTCATCTTTCTACTCACTAATTTCATCTTCCTACCTACTACTTTTTATATCACCAAAGAAAGCTGATAATTATTCAAATCAATGAATGGAAATGCTCAGATCTGGCTGACAGACATCCTTGACTTAAGGACATGATATTTTTAAGGCTTTTATACATATTTTAAAATTATACTCAGGAGGGTATTAATCAATGTAAACTCCTCTCATGTCAACAGATCTATTATTAATCCTGGTATTATTATAACATTTTTGTCTCCTTATATGAAATGTGACATAATTAATTTGCATTACTGATTACAAGACAGGCTTTTCTGTCCATTTTTTATTTATGTTATGTGTACAATGTGGTCTTCTTTGTTTGAAAAATGAGGCTATTTATCATTTTTATGTAAACATATAAAACCAAGAAAATAAAAGGGAGCTTCTTGAAGTTTTTAAATATTAGCTTACCAAATGTAGGGAAGCAAATTATACAAGAAATATTCAAATAAAACAGAAATTTTACACCAGGAAGAAAATGATGAAACAAGTTATAGGTCTATATCAGAAACAAATTATTGTCATTTAATTTTCACATTTATTCTTCAGTTATTTCAGTTAATGGAAATAATGAAATAGGAAAAACACAGAATGATTAATTCCATTATTAAGAATTATTTTGAATTTCCAAAATATAGTTGTTTTTGAAATATAGGAGCATTCAACTTTTTTAAAAATGTCACTGTTGCTTTTCATCAGTTCCAGCTCCCCAGCTACACAATTACCTCTACTATCCCTGCTAAATAATTTATGAAGATGAAAAGAGAAAGAACAGACAGCAAAATAGATAAGAAACTGACTATGCATAGATGCAGTCTAAATACATCTGGGTTCCGCATGAAATGTTTTAAGACAACACATCACATGGAATATTTTAAGACAATAATCACTTTTCTAACTTGTGAGTAAGTGTTAGCAATTTAAGACCATTATTTTTAAATGTATAGACAAAATAAGTAGACATGATTATTATTAACATCCTATCTAGATTAGGTCAATAAGTTGCTTAGGTAAGCCAAAGGCTCAGAAAATTAGAACAGCATTATTTTAAATTAAGTAGCAGTATCAAGAGACAACAGACAATGTTGAGTTAAAAGTGTGTGACATACATGAAGATTAGACTTCTGCACTATATTTTTTTGGGATTCATTTAGTGACATAAAATTATACATATTTTTAAAGTAAAATATTAATATTATCATAAAGGATATCCTATTTCCCAGAACTTTACTAGTAGAATTACATTGGGCAATTATAAGTTACTCTTATTTGTCGGTGTCATTTTCTTTAAGACTCTACGACACATTTAATTGTCTGGAGCATTTGAAATTTTTATATCCTAAATAATATCCTTCCGCTTGACTTTTCTGCATTATTCTTAAATAAAGACAAATTTTAAGGAAATCATATATGTGAATATATACTTTTTTAGAAATTATAATTATATGCCTATTATTTAAAATTGTGCTTTCTTTTATTTGCAATCTCTGTCTCTCATTTCTTTCTCTCTTCCATTAGTAATCAAAACTTCTTCATAAAGTAGAACTATAAAGTCCTATGCTGCATTGTCATTTGAGAGTTCTAATCAGTTCACAGCCTGATTATAATTATTCCTTTCTCTTTTTAGGGAGAATAAAATAAAATTTTGGTTATTTGCCCTTAGGCGAGGTATTGAAGAATTAATGTGACTATACACACGGCTTATTAAAAAGCTCTCAAAAACATTCTACATCAAATAAACATATGTAAGTGTAAAATGCTACCCTTCATTAGTAACCATGAGCAAGCTACAGAATTTTAACTGTAATCATATATGTATATATATTTCTTACAAATATGTAATACTTTGCATTCAGAGAGATTAAGCTTTAAGATCATAAAAGAGACCAAAATTTAAGAAATATTTTAATTATAATTCCATTGTTGGTCAAATTACCTTAAAGGAAAAATAACTGTGTATGGTGAATAATGTTCTTTCCAATATGCACTATAAAAATACTTTAGCAAATAATGTGTTTCTATTCATTTATATCTATTGCTGTATTATTCTATTTCTTTATTGATATTCATGGCTATATTTCATTTATTTTCATGGAAAATAGTCACACACATGCAAAGGAAAGTGCTCCCAGGAAGCCTAAGTAAAATTAAAGACCATGTGGAATATCACTTTTTCAAATTGAAATACCTATCCAAGAAAATGAACTAAATGGAGCATGCTTGCAATTTACAGCACGTGATTGGTAAGGGTGTTAATGATAGCACTTCAGGAGTGGGTGAAGATGGGAAACATCTGCTTCGTTCACACTCCCTGGGATATCCTCCTGAGACATATGACTCAGCCACTTTGAGCTAAGTGCCTCTTCTTAACAGATTTCTTAAGGGAAAGCTAAATTTCTTGCAGAATAATTATGATAAACTAAGAACATTTTGCCTGTCCCTAGTGGATATCACAAAAGAAAGATCATTTTGATTCCCTCACTTATAAAACAAAAATAAATTAACTTTGAAAGTAAATTGCATTTTTTTTCTGAACATGCTGCTGAAATGTGGTGAGTGTAGTATTGTCTCCTCATACTGTTTTTTTTTTTTTTGAGGGGAAATAAAGGGTCTTTTAAATATTTAGCAGAACTTATTATGTTAGCAGATAAAAATCAATACATTCACGAAATTCAAAATGTCTTTGTTAACATATTATCATCATCAGTATATACTTTGATATTTATTCACCATTTTAGAGTTAGGTATTCTTTGGCTTACAATCTAATTATCCCCTCTAATAGAAAAACAAAATTAACAATTCTTATATTATAAACTCTAAAGTCAGGATTAATACATAGAGAGGCTGTTATTCAGCAGTGGAGATCACTGTCGGTGTGTAGAGTTTATGAATCCCAATAAAATGTAAGCCTGGATCAATAATCAAAAAAAAAAATCCTAAAGAAGTGCTTTTAAAGACTATTCACTAAAACATTCAGAAGAGTGTTCTGCTGAAGACTCTTCTCTTCATGGTTGATGTGTAGATTATAGTGCTGAAAATCACAAGAAATTTCATTTACTTGAGCATTTGAGGGTAGGTTTGGAACCTAGAGAAAGGCTTTAAAGGACCTCTTCATTCCCACTTATGATCAAATTGCCAACAATTTCCACAATATTTGTCATGTTTATTTTTATTTAAAATATTGCATTTCCAGGAAGTTTTTTTTAATTGCTTGTTAATGCAACTACGTTATTAGAATTAACACATTGAGCTAGGAGTTAGAGTTGGGAGATACAGGTAATTGGGCAATAGTAGAATGGAACACATATACGGTCTCTTGATGAGGACAGGGTGAATGTAAGAAGAGTTTTGGATCATTGGGAATCTCTTAGCCAATGAGGTCTGGGTAGATCCATTTAATGTAGAGGACTGGTGAATCAATGGCTCAAAATCACCAGGGAAAGTTGCAGTGTGAGAGGCAACTAAGCACCAAAACGAAAAAAGAGTCTTATGATTAGAAATAGATGATGTGCAACTATTTGACTTGATTAATCCAGACTTTTGTTTTAGGGAATTATGGTTTATGGAAATATTCTGGTTGACTCATTCTTCACTCAAGCATATGCTGTGGCTGCCAGTCTATTACTTTTGTTCCCTAAAGACTCAGTACACATACTGGGTTTTTTGTTTCTTTTGCTTTTTTTCTGAAACCATCATCATGCTTACCATTCTTTTTTGGTTATTACAAAGCAGATTCATCTTTCTAGGCAACTTTATTTTGGGTATTTTAGGGACCGTCTCCATACAAGTTGACTTTCTCCCAAAAATCCTTGCAGAATTTTACAGAATATGCTAATAGTTTTTCTTTTAGTGTCTTAATTGACAAATGTATCACTGTTAAATTGAGTCCCTGGTTAAATGATGAGTTCCTTTGTAAAGTTTGTTCTATAGCTAGAAATAAAATGCTTCTTTTGGTTTATAAATTATGAAGACATAAAGTGTTTATTTGCTATACATTCTATTAAAATTATATATTTTTTGTTTTCTCAGACATTTGATTATCCCACCTTTTTAAAATAATGAGCACTTATTTTATACAATTACATATTAATTAGCTGTTCAAATACTCAATGGGACTTTTCAATTGGGGGGATGCAGTTGATCAAATTAAAAATAAACACATTGAAATGATAATGTGTTTTTTATGCTTAATACTTTGGGGATATTAAAGTATCACCACATTCTTAAAGTGTATAATTCCTGAATCCGTATGTTACTTAAAATTAATCTTCTCAAAATAGCTTCCTTTGAGTTTTTTTTATACAAAAGAAAATGTGTAATATCTATTCTGTATATCTATGGTACTGAAGACTAAAGAAACAATGCAGACATTATAGAAATTTTAGAAATAATGCAAAATTTTAGAAAAATGATATATAAAATATACAGAACACACACACACACACACACACACTGATGCACAAGGGCAGCATAATCAGTGAGTGAATCAATTATGTCTAAGACTATCTCATTAGTATGTCCTGCCAGAGCCTAAATCCCTTATTAAAGAAATACTTCCAGACTATTACATCATTCTATGGATACACACCTTGGTTTTGTAAAAGCCAAAATGCTACATCTAAAAGCAAATTAGATTGCCCCATTGTCCCAAAAACATTTCACTGCAAGTTGAGAATGACCAGTGTTTATGAAATAGTATACATATATTTCCTTTGTTGGAGAAAAGAAGACTTTTAAATCTCATGATTATACCTCCTATCTCAAATTTATTCATTCTATTGCCCAAGATATTTCTAAAATATAACTTGGTACATCAATCGAGAATATAAATTTTGAAAAATATGCTGAATATAGGTAGAAAAAGAAAAAAGAGCTCTGAATGGCATTCACTTCTATTATACTCTACCTAAAATTTTCTTCTACATGAGGGACTATTTCTTCTGAGTGAAATACTCTATGTTACCTTTGCTATTTATTAGATAGTATTAGGATTAATTAATTTACTTTAAAAGGGCTTGTAGCAGTTAGTACAAGTTCATAACTTTATGGTGAATTTAGTAGGTTGTAGAAGACAGAATCTTTTTGTTGTAAATAGTGAAGGTCACAAATCTACTGTCCTGCTCCTTCACCATAGAAAGAAAAAGGTATTTAGACCTTTTGTGGCTGTGTGAAAGTTGTATAAATGTTTTTAATATTAATGTGCTTCTCTTACTTTTAGTATTCCTCAGAGAACCTAATACCAGAGGTCAGTTCCTCCACTTCTGTAATGAAACATAGTCCTGTTAAATGTTGTGTAAAACTACATCTTGCCTTTTCTCCTTTGCTGAAACTGGAATGCAAATCGCAGTGTACATACTCACTAAAACCTAAAGAAGTTCATCAAGGTAGGGCAATTGGTTTTGAGTAGTATTTTTATAAAAAATTAAAAGTATAATAAATGCAATGTAATATATGCCTAGGCATAATCTATGTATTATAAAATAGTGACTTAAGAAAAATGTCAAAATAATGCAAACTAAGAGAAGTTATATGCTACAATTTTTACTCATATATTTCATGAAGTGCTTGAATCATAAAAACCCCTGATTCTCTGTTTTTTTTTATTTTTGTGAGTGTGGCATATGGTTTGCCTAGTGAATTCTAAAATAATAGAAACTAAATAAATAGGTAGATAGAGAAATAGTACCAACTATTCATTTAGCCACTCAAAAATATTTCTTAATCACTGCCATGTACCATGAATATCATGAAAAGTATTAGACTTATATGTGTAATAATAGTTTTCTAATTAGCATTATTAACATCCCAGGCCACATCTAAAAATAGTGCTATCATGAGTAATTAGGTGTTATGTGGCAAACAAGTTTTAATAATTTTTTAAGCCTAGTTACACTTCTTGATAATTTATTTCAGACTGAGTAAAATATTCCTGTTAATAAATAAATTCAGTCTCCAAGGTAGATAGAGGAATATAATATATTTCCAAAATTCATATGAATATGACATTTTTGTTAATGTTTTTAAATGGAAGCCATTAACAGCTTAATTGCTAGTGTTTGATGAACTACATTTCCACTGATCTATATCATAATACCTTGACTGACTTTAATTTTCACTATTCATCTGGATAGTGAAGATGATAAGAACACATTTTATTCTTCATTTTTGTAAGTGCTAGAAAATGCTTATGTCACCATGCAGTCTCCCTTATTTCTAACAAGCATTGTCATTTTAAAATGCTTAGAACCTAATCCTGACTCATGTTCTCAAGAGACTAGTAGATGTAGCATTAGTTGTTTTGCTACATTTACACTGGGCAGTTATAATAATAGCACCTACGAGGAGATGTTTGGTTAATCTTAATCCTCAAAACAGTGGAAATATAATGGCACATCATATATATGAGGAAATCAAGGCTCCAGGGATGTAAGTAATTTGCTAAAACTAACAAGAACTAATAAGTTTTGGCATTAAGAATTAAACTTGGATATAGAATCAAATTCTTTGCACTTTCTACCTTATTCTGCTGACTTTTCATAACTGCAGTGCACGTGCATGTATTTTGCATACTGAAAGGTGGATAATGCACTATGAAAATATATACACAGCCAAGCGCGGTGGCTCATGCCTGTAATCCCGGCACTTTGGGAGGCCGAGGTGGGCGGATCACGAGGTCAGGAGATCGAGACCATCCTGGCTAACACGGTGAAACCCCGTCTCTACTAAAAATACAAAAAAATTGCCGGGCGTGGTGGTGGGTGCCTGTAGTCCCAGCTACTCGGGAGGCTGAGGCAGGAGAATGGCGTGAACCTAGGAGGTGGAGCTTGCAGTGAGCCGAGATTGCGCCACTGCACTCCAGCCTGGGAGAGAGTGGGAGACTCCGTCTCAAAAAAAAAAAAAAAAAAAAAAAAGAAAGAAAATATATATACACAGAGTAACATTGACTGACAGCTGCATAAAATTTACAATAAATTTCAAATTATGTTGATGTATAGCAATTTAACAAAAATAACTAATTTGAGCAAGTCTATAATTTTGACTCTTGTACTATCTCCATATTAATGGAAAAAAAATATATATATAGTGATTATCTAAGAAAAGGAACAGAATTTGGACCACTGAAGTGTAGAATATGTCTCAGTTGGATGGTCTAGCTAGTGCTTGAATGCACTTTCATTCACAAAAATAGGAAAAGCAGGTCCCATTCTTCAATTTCTCTTATGGAATCCTTAAATAGGCGCTGAAAAACTGATGATTCCTGGTGACAATCACAACAGTTCTCCAGGGAGTAAATTATGGAAGGAGAATATAAAATCAGCCATTTATTCCTCAAAATTGGTAAGGGATATGTTGTCCAGGAGGAACAGAAGAATAGAAATAGACATTCATTGACAAATAAATTTCCATGTAGGTGATGGCAAGGAAATGCATTTAGATAAAAAGTAACCCAAATTTTATATGTAGGATGATTGACTTCACACTATCTGTTATGATCCATAGAAAGAGTTTTGAAAGTCAAGTAGTCACCTTCATTTGTGCTGCTATAAATATTAAAAGGTTAATGAATTATTTAGTAAAAATTGTCAAGGTCTCAAAACAAAATATTAACTTACTTTTAGGAACAAGCCAAGATACACTCAATATTCTCTGAAGAAAATGTGTAATTAAAGATAGAATTAAAGAAAAAATTATTTAGATAGAGAAATAGAAGCAAAGAAATGAAGATAAAATGAAGGGAAAACATTAGAAAATCTGGGAGAATCAGAATAAAAACAAGTATGCTTGCAATCTATAGAGTCATGAAGGCCTTAGGTAGAATTCAGATATCTATCTCTGGAATAACAGAAAAAGGGTTTTATTGAAGATTACATAAAGTGAATTTATGCACAAACAAAAGCAAAAATAAATTTAATATGGAGTAAGTTACTTATTTATGTTAACACCATCTTATTAGTGAAAATTAAAAAGGTATTTGAATAGCTTATTTGAGTGATAATTGATGAATTTTAGAAGAGAATATACTTATTGCCAAATACATCCATTAGTATGAAAGAGATGTGAAGATATATTAGATGAAAAACAGGCCTTACTCAATATAGTAATTTTATATACTTATGTGAAAGTTATGAAAATACCAATAAGCCTTGAGAACTTGACCACAGTTACCAATTTGTGAAAGTTCTAATAATAGTGCTCCAAAGAAGGTAGACCATTGTTATTCTAATCCACTATTTCTTCCTTATTATTGTCAAACTAAAATAAAACAGAATTATTCTAGAAGAAACACAGAGGCTAAAAATTGCAAGACGCATTTGGTTGAATTATGCAGTCAGTTGGTTTTTCTTGACTGAAGGCAATGAATGTTACATTTAATTCTAATTACCACTGAAGTTAAGAGGTGGGACTTCACTCTGGAGGCAGGGTGCAGACACTGGACCAAATCGAGGACTAACTAAAACAGGGACTGCGTGGAAGCAGCTTTCCATAAGACATGCCCACCAGGGTGTCACATCAGTTTACCATAGCCATGGCAAGGCACAGCCATTTACTGCCCCTGTCTATGGCAATGACCTGATGACCCAGAAGTTACTTCCCCTTCCCTAAAAATTTCTGCATTTACCCCCCTTAATCTACATATAATTAAAATTAGGTATAAATGTGACTGCAAAACTGCCCTGAGCTGCTACTTTCAGCACATTGCCTACGGGGTAGCCATGCTCTATAACATCAGTCATGGAGCTGTAACACTGCCACCTCAATAAAGCTGTTTTCTTCTACCCAACCACTAGCTCATCCTTGAATTCTTTTCTGGCCAAAGCCAAGAACCTTTGCAGGCTAAGTCCCAACTTGGGGCTCACCTGTCCTGTATCACCACCAATTTTCACCTTACTGCTCAAATAAATTTTTTTGAAGTATATAATTGTTAAATTATGTATCTTAACATTAAGTGATCTATAGTAAGATATTTGCTTATCTGATGATTTCTTTAATGCATGTGCTGTATTTAAACTGTAATGTTGCCTGCTTTTCAATATATTTGAATCTATAGACATTACTGATTTTCAAACAAGAGAGTAGGGAATGTAAATATAAAAAAAATTACATATGTAACAAAAGTAATACATTACAAGAAGCTAATTAATTTGGTTTAATAAGACTACAAACACATGAAAATAAGTCTATCCTCTATAGAGTGAACAATTTTAGAGGACACTGTAAAAATGGCTTTTCCCAAGTGCATCTTAATATTTTGCCCACCAAAGTCAAAAACGGAAATGGTCATACATCCAATATCCCTGCATTTTTAAAAAATGCCATTCAGGGAATCATCAATTCTATTTTTAATTGTCTCTGGAATAAACAATATTGTTTTGCCAGAGACAATTGTGCAATATTTTTTCAGAATTTATAGCTTGGAAACAGCTTGCCATTTTTGATGCACTACTATGTTTTATTTTATTCAACAATGAAAGCTAAGGAATCTGTATGGTTAAACTTTCAGCTTTGGTTGTTATGAAACTCTGGATTTGCTTTCAGTTACAGTTGCTTCTCTTATCCTTTGTATTTTGATGACCATGAGGATAACCCTACCAATTATATTATTCATGTATTTTCTTTCTATTATTAAACAGGATATAAGAATAAGTTAAATCAGTAAGCATTTGTTAAAAGTTTATCATGTGAATAAAATTGTTCTGGGTATAAGATAACTATGAAAGACCAAACTAGAACAGGGTGTGAATGAATATCTCCACTACTTAAGTTACAACTCAAGGCTCTTTAGAAAGGAGACCCCAGAATATAGTAACTAAAATGAGAAAGAAATTAATTTCTCTCACTCTGGGGAGACCAGACGTGAACAATCCAAAATTGGCAGGTTGCTTCACGTCACAAGGACATTCAGGCACCCGGTTACCTGACATCTCAAACTACTATTTCTTTGGTTGCAATCCTGCATAATTGAAACTACTTTTCCTCCATATCTGTATGTGAACTAGCAGGAAGAAGAAAAAATAGAAAGCCATGGGAAAGTATTATCTTCTGTAAGGAGAAGTCTCAGAAATCCCACACGTCATTTCTGCTTATTCCTCATGCCCTAAATTTAATCACATGACAAGTCACAGCTACAAGAAAAGCTGATAAATGATAAAGGCAAGCCATGTGTCAAGCTAAAATTGAGTGGGGTGATATTTATATTTCTATATGGAGGAAGGGGATGGTTATTAGAGTAAAATTACCATCTCTACCATAGCTTCTCTGACTGATGTATTTCCAATTTGCCATCTGGCTTCTATGTGTAATAAGAACGTGACAGTACATTGTAGTGAAAAGTCTTTAGTTTTATAAATAGACAGGCATAGTTTGGCATTCTAGTCCCACTGATTACTAGCTGTAAATAGTTGTCAAGTTACTATATGTTTCTGAGTCGCTATATGCTCATCCAGGAAATATGAATAAAATGTCTAACTCAGAAAGCTCTTGCCTTCAGTATGATTTTGTTACGTAGTATAAGTTATAACAAATGACATCAATTGATATTATTAGACAGGCCATTGTAAATTGCTCCTTATTGAAATATCTCATTCTTTATCCATTAGTTAAGATGATGCATCTATCAATACTTAGTCTTCTGAATCTACTTCTCTAAGAACTTTCTCACACTCATCCTATATGATTCTCTATTAGAAAGTAAGGCCAGAAAAAAAAAACTCCTTCTCATATAAAGGAAGATGTGCTAAACAAGAAATATTTTCATACCAATTAATTAGGCAGGAACGGATATTGCAGACTAAAGACTAAATGCATATTGACCACTTTGGCTATGCACAATTTACAAGCTAATTCTACTTGAAAAGCAACGCTTTTCAGGTGAACGTCTGTTTTTCCACTAATATTTGTTTTGGTTCTAATAATAAGTTATGGAGGCAGCTGAAAGAAAGATTGGGAGAGTGAGAGTCACCTGCAAGAATATATAAATGAATGATTTTCTCCTGATGTGTCCGTTAGTTACTATGGTGACAATCTGTGCAAGCATTTAAGGAAAAAATAGCATCTTACCTTCCTTTCCTTTTTGTGACAGAATTTATAATTTTAATTGGCATAATTATGTATACAATTTTGTTTGATAATCTGTTCATTTTTGTTTTTACATGTAAAATATGTTGATTTTGCTGTCTTCAAAATATGATTTTTAATTAATAATTACTTTCATTAAACTTGATTAAAATTATCCTTAACATTTGACATAAAAATATCTGATAATCAAATAATTTTCTCTAGTGGCATATATTAAACATTATTTTTAAAATGTAGAAAGCTTGTATGTATTTATCTTTGACATTATAAAATATATGTTTAGATAAATTATGCAATTAATATGGTCATTTACCTTCTAATTAACATCTTTTACGAATGGCTTGCTGAAGAAAGACCTGTCTGAAGTAATGGACAGCACGTTTTTAATTAAATGTTGAGTTTATTTTTAGTCTTATAAATAATTGTTCAAATTACTAAATACTTATTTTATCATTTATGGAGCTTTTAATTTGATAATTTTTAAATTAATATGTAATGTTACTCTGAGATGATCCCTCTGGCTTGTCTAGCTAATAAGTGATTTTCGTGTTAGAAATAATAGGTCATTGGGCCAGGCTTGGTGGTGCATGCCTTGATGGTAGTTCCAGCTACTCAGGAGGTTGAGGTGGGACAATTACTTAAGCCCTGGAGTTCAAACCCAGCCTGAGAAACATAGTAAGATCCCATCTCTATTTTAAGAAAACAGAAATTATAGGCCATTGATTAGCCTTATTTGTTTTACTGATACTATTGTTAATATTGTACAATAAAGTGGGTGAAGTTGAAGACAAAGTGAAGTTAATTACAAGTGAAAAGAAAATCAAAATTCAATCCAAGTGTTTTGCAACTGGAACTTAAAATCTAAAATCATTTATATCACCCAGATTAAGCTGAATTCCCTATTTTGGAATTTCCAACCTCATGTGGACAACCTAGTGTAAATGTCTAAATGCTTACTTCTCTTTTGAGATGCTGCCTGTTTTGCCTGCTTCTTTATACAAATATGGCACTAGTGATCTCCCTGACACCTCATGTTTTACTGATAGACTTACCTAATCCAGTCTTTTTTTCTCATTTGTTGATATTATATTTCATATCCTTTGGCATGCTCACTTTTCCATCACCCCAGCTCTCTACCTTCAAGGTGGTACCTTGTTCCTGTATCGTCACATGGAAGAAGGGCAAAAAGGGAAAAAATGAATATTCAGTTCTCACATAGCTGAAGAAACAGCAGGACCAGGAAGCTTTCCTAAGCCTCCTGTATAAGATCATTAATTTCATTCATGAGGGTGGATCCCTCATGATTTAATCACTTCCCAAAGACCCCACATCTTAATACAACCACAATAAGGATTCAGTTTATATATGAATTTTTGAAGGTTGCAAACACTCAAACCAAAGCAGTGATTATTTCTCGGGTCTAATAGAAAGGTCAAAGTGAGAGGTGAAGCTGGCTGGGCTCCTGGGTCGGTTGGGGACTTGGAGAACTTTTATGTCTAGCTAAAGGATTGTAAACACACCAATCAGTGCTCTGTGTCTAGCTAAAGGTTTGTAAACGCACGAATCAGCACTCTAAAAACTCACCAATCAGCGCTCTGTGTCTAGCTAAAGGTTTATAAATGCACCAATCAGTACTCTGTAAAAGCAGACCAATCAGCACTCTGTAAAATGGGCCAATCAGCAGGATGTGGGCGGTGCCAAATAAGGGAATAAAAGCTGGCCACTCCAGCCGCAGGGGGCAACCCACTGAGGTCCCGTTCCACAGTGTGGAAGCTTTGTTCTTTCACTCTTCACAATAAACCTTGTTGCTGCTCACTGTTGGGGTCTGCACTACCTTTATGAGCTGTAACACTCACTACAAAGGTCTGCAGCCTCACTCTGAAGTCAGCGAGACCACGAACCCACCAGGAGGAACGAACAACTCCGGACACGCCACAATTAAGAGCCCTAACACCCACTGCGAAGGTCTGCGGCTTCACTCCTAAAGTCAGCAAGACCATGAACCCACCAGAAGGAAGAAACTCCTGACACATCTGAACATCTGAAGGAATAAACTCCGGACACACTATCTTTAAGAACTATAACATTCACCACGAGAGTCCGCGGCTTCATTCTTGAAGACAGAGAGACCAAGAACCCACAGCAAGGAACAAATTCTGGACGCAGAAGTACTCATCATATCACATCAAACATTGGAAAGGCTCCTTGAATTTTATGATGCTATCATCTTCCCATTGGATGCATTTCTAAATTCTGATACAAACAAAAACTGTGAATAAGCCTTCCAAATAATCAACCTCATAGCAACAAATGTCAATAGTGTTGAACTTCCTAAAAAAAATCAAGAGTCAAACTTCACAAAAGTTCACAAAAGTATCAGTAACATTAAACTTCCCTCAACATATTAAACTAATGTGAATGATCCTTCAGAACCAGCTCTTTTGTTTGTTTGTTTTTTGAGACAGAGTCTCACTCTGTTGCCCAGGCTGGAGTGCAGTGGTGCAATCTCAGCTCACTACAAGCTCCACCTCCCAGGTTCACACCATTCTCCTGCCTCAGCCTCCCCAGTAGCTGGGACTACAGGTGCCCGCCACCACGCCTGGCTAATTTTTTATATTTGTTTAGTAGAGACGGGGTTTCACCATGTTAGCCAGGATAGTCTGGATCTCCTGACCTCAGGATCCGCCCACCTCGGCCTCCCAAAGTGCTGGGATTACAAGCATGAGCCACCGCGCCTGGCTCAGAATCAGCTCTTAACTGAATACTTTTACTGTGAGCTTCTGGTGAACATAAAGTTCATCTTCATTCTACCTCCCTTCCAGTGCAGCTCCATGCCAGGGCACCTCTTAGGAATGTTGCCCCAAAAAACTGTATGATTTATGTCTCTAGGCACTAAGTAGTGAATAATAATATCAAGAGACAAGTGTGAACAAATCCACTTTAAATAATCTGAAGCCCTAAACAAAGAAAAAGAAACCAGAACTTGTCTGGACATATATAATTTTTTTAGAAAATATGTAATCAAATTGCTTAATAAATGTGGGTTCGTGGAATTAGGATGCACAGAAGTTCAGTGAGTTTGCTCGAAACAAAAGCAAAAAAAAAAAAGAAAAAAGAAAAAGGCAAATATATCAAACTCAGCCATTTCAGGACCCCTAAAAATTAAAGGCACAGAACAAACTAAACATATTCATTCAAGAAACTTTTCTTAAGCCTATAAGGACAGCAGGATCTGTTAATTTAGAACTACAACTATTAACTATCTTTTCATCTCCATGGAGTGGTAGCCATGAAAAGCCAGAAGCTTGTAAAAATCAAAACCATTTCTATGTACCAGAGAAAACAATTGAATAATTAAAATTTCAACATTATTGTGTAAAAAAACTTTTAATATATAAAAGAAATTAGAAATCTTTAAAAGGCTGTAAAAGATCTCAACATTATGAGAGAAAAATTTAAAAAAACTAAATAAATGGAGAAATATGCTACATTCATGAATCAGAAGACACCATATCCACCAATCAGAAGAATCAGAAGATGATAATTCTTTCCAAACCAAACTATAGATTCACTACACTTCCAATAAAAACCATAGCAGGATTTTTAAAATAAAAATTTGAAATCTGGTTCTAAAAGTTATATGATTACTCAGCAGACCTAAAGTAACTAAAACAAAATTGAAAGATATAATGTAAATTTATATTAAACAAGTGATAGTTTCAAAACAGAAATATAGAACATAACAGAATATTCAGAAATAGACCCATATACATATGGTAACTGATTTTTTACAAAAGTGCAAAACAATTAAGTAGAAAAAAATGATAGTCTTTTCAACATACGTTTTAATGATTGAATATCCATATGCAAAAATTATAAGATATTTGATCCATAATTTGCATCATATAAGTCACTTAAAATGACTCATAGCTCTAAATGAAAATGAAAAATATAAAATGTCTAGAAAAAATATAACAAAAACGTTTGCTAACCTTGGTTATGAAAAAAATTTCTAGATATGCACTAAAAATATGATCTATGAAAGTGACTGAAAAATTATACTCAATTCAAAATAAGAACTTCTGCTCTTCAAAAGACACTGTTAACCGAGTGAAGATATAAGCCACAGACTAGGTGAATATAGTTACAAATCATATACTTGACAAAAGACTTTTGTCCAAAGAATATAAAAGAATCTCAAAATTTAATAATATACAACAAACCCAATAAAAATATTAGTGAAGGATGGCCGGGCGTGGCTCACGCCTGTAATCCCAGCACTTTGGGAGGCCAAGGCGGGTGGATCATGAGGTCAGGAGATCGAGACCATCCTGGCTAACACGGTGAAACCCCATCTCTACTAAAAAATATAAAAAAATTAGCCGGGTGTGGTGGCGGGTGCCTGTAGTCCCAGCTACTCGGGAGGCTGAGGCAGGAGAATGGCATGAACCTGGGAGGTGGAGTTTGCAGTGAGCCAAGAATGCATCATTGCACTCCAGCCTGGGAGACAGAATGAGACTCCGTCTCAAAAAAAAGCAAAGGATTTCAATAAGCAGTCCAACAAAGGGGATATATAGATGGTAAATAAGTACATGAAAATATACACTGTTAGCCATTTGGGAAATGTACATTAAAACCACAGAAAGACGTACTGCACATCTATGAAAACGACTATTAAAAAAATGACTATGGAGTGTGTGTAACTCATATACCGCTTGAGGCAGTATAAATTGACATAATCACGTGTAAAATGGTTTTGCAGTTTCTCAGAGATAAACATACACCTGTGATATGATTCAGCCATTCTACTCTTAAATATTTCCCAAAATGAAATAAGAAAAAGTCCACACAAAGACGTGGTTACAAATTTTATAGCCGCTATACTTGTAATAGCCAAAAAAACTATACAAAACAAAGCAAATGTTCATTAACCGATAAACTGGTATATCCATACAATGGAATACTATCAGTAATATGAAGAAAAAAACTATTGATACTGCTAATAAAATGTTTGAATTTTTAAACAACTATGCTGAGAAAAATAATTAAAATTGAAAATAATAGATTCTGTATAATTCTTCGTAAAAGTTTAGGAATGTAAACTAACATACATGGTCAGAGGGCAGTTCAAGTTGTTGTGGGAGAATGAGGGAGGAAGGAGATTGGAGCAAGGCTGGATGGAAAGATTATAAAGGGCACACAGAAATGTTTGCGGGCCAGCTGGGCGTGGTGGCTCACACCTGTAATCCCAGCACTTTGGGAGGCTGAGCCAGGCAGATCACCTGAGGTCAGGAGTTTGAGACCAGCCTGACCAACATGGAGAAACTCCATATCTACTAAAAATACAAAATTAGCCGGGCATGGTGGCACATGCCTGTAATCCCAGCTACTTGGGAGGCTGAGGCAGGAGAATAGTTTGAACCCGGGAGGTAGAGATTGCAGTGAGCTGAGATCGTGCCACTGCACTTCAGCCTGGGCGACCAGAACTAGACTCCAGTCTCAAAAAAAAAAAAAAAAAGAAGAAGCAATGTTTGAGGGTGTTGGACATGTTCACTACCTCAATTGTTGCGATGGTTTGTAGGTGTATAGGCTATATAGCTACAGCAGTACATAAATTAAACACTTTAAATATCTGAAGTTCATGTATTCAATTAAAACCTTAATAAAGCTGTTTAAAATAAAAGAATTAATAGAGCCTATGGAAAATAAAATCAGAACACTGAAGTAAGGTAATCATACGGACTTTTCCTGATTTGACAAACAAGAAAATATAATAATAAAGATAATACCATACCACACTGCTTAAGAATACGAATTTGGAGCCATGCAGATGTGGGTTTCAGATATAGTTCTTGACTTTTATTGGTGTATTTGTATTTGGGAACCTAACATTTTTGTCTTAACCTCTTTTTCTTAATCAATCAAATTGGATTATAAAAAGAGTTTCCTAATTGTTACTGGAATGGAACCAGCCACCTAACTGGGACCTGCACAATTCAGGAAATTTGAATGCATAAAAAGTACTAGTAAAAATGATTGTATTTCTAAAACATGATATTTCATGGCATATTCTGTCTTATGAAGAATTCAAGATGTTAGATCAGTAAGCTATTTTAACAGATCTAGCCAAGGCTTTATCTGGCTGACTGTAAGCAAGTGTGTTTATTAAAGGAAAAGCTAACAATCCAAAAATTACAGAATTTTATATAGTTAAGAGGAAAGAAGAAGAATAAAGTAAGTATCAAAAACATTTCTAAAAGGCTCACCAACAATTTCTCTGTCTCATTTTTAAAATTGGTTATATCTCTTTTAAATCCTTTGTTTTTAAATAATCTGAAAACTTTTTTTCATCAGAATATCTGCTACGTGCCAGATTTTGTGATACACACTGGTGACACTATGGTAAATAAAACAAATTGTTTATGTCCTCTGTTGCTTATGCATTTTTCTAAAATATGTATCTAGATGAATATTGCCCAAATTTCAACATCAGTGCAAGTATACTACCTAACTATAAAAAATAAAAGTTTTTGAGGCCCACCCATGGAAACTCTAATTCAATAGGTCTACAGTTACCTGGGGATATACCTTGGAAAAATCTCTAGATATGTGTTAAGAGTTGCGAATATGGCATTTTAAAATAAAGACTGTTCTCTTTCCAGGAAGAGGTTATAAAGTTTTTAAATTGGCTTTAGAGGCAGTAATCTCAAAATTATATGAGATACACATAACCAGATAAATTAATGAACAGCTGCTGTAGTAGGATTGAGTTTAAAAATAAAACTGTAGTATGCTAACTTATTAATCCACATAACTCATATAAAATGCAGTAGACTAAAGGAAGAGCTTCCATATAGCTAAGTTTGTATGATTATTTTTATAAATGATTGGTTTTAGCTGGAAACATGTATATGTTTGCCATATCAAAGAAAAATAAGGTCTGGTACATGTCATTTTTTATTTTTGTCCTCTGTTTATGAGTAATTTAAGCATTGTTTTTTTGCAAATTGAGTTGTTAATTAGTCCTCTATTTCTCCTTGTAAGCCTAAGGTAGTATCCAGGAGAGTGTTTACATCATATGCCAAAACTAGCACTATTTCATATTTGCAACCCTAGGAGTACAGATAAGGGCCTGGTCAGATGTGTGGATGAGTCGTTCTATTGTAGACAGCTCTGCTGTCCTTATTGGCAAATTTGCACAAACTAAGAAATCCACAGGTCATCATACTAACTGCCACTAAGCAAAAGCCCAGCAGCCACATGTCTGAGAGCTCTGGACTCTTGAAAGTATATCATGGGGAGGAAGAAGTAAAAATTCTCACTGGGATTCCAATATGATAAAACTTCTTTTATCTGTCTTTGGATTTATCTCAAAATCTATAGCAAACAAAGGGTGTACTAAATAACCAATCCATATAAAGTACACAGAGGAAAAAGAAGTAACATTTGCCCTCCCCTAAGATAGGAGTGGGTGAAAATAAACAATATTTAAATTCTTTTCATGGGTTCTGATAGCTATGCCCATCTTGCACAAGTGAGCAGGACTTTCACAGTTTTGTAGGGCCACTAACATTTTTATTTTTTAAACTGAAAAATTGTATTAGGACATTTATGTTGATATTTGAAAATGACTTAATCTTTTTCTAGTGTATATTTTACATTATATGTATATATTTATATACTCTATCTCATATACATACATTTGTGTGTGTATGAGACAGACTGTATAAATATATATAATATGTATGTACCTGTGGCTTGCAATGGTTTTTGCATCACCAGAAGGCAGATATTGAATGAAGGGAGAACATTCCAGCAGAGAAGAACAGGTCTCCAGGGAAGGAAAAGTGGTCATGTCTTTTAGATTAAAGGAATTACACTTTCATAGCATTTCATATATTAAATTAGTTCCCATAAATTTATTTATACATAGCATTGAAAGAAGGGAGATATACATGTGGACTATTCAATGAAATCCTCATAGAGAATAATATAAATTACAGTTGTCCCTTGAATTGCGCAAGAATTAGAGCTACTGACCTCACACACAGTCAAGATCATATGTATAACGTTTGACTCCCAAAAAAACTTAACTAATGTTGACTGGAAGCCTTGCTGATAACCTAACAGCCTACTGTTGACTGGAAGCCTTACCAATAACATAACAGCCAATAAAGACATAAACAGTCTAGTAGCTATATATATTTGATGCCTTCATGACACACCTAACTTTTTCTGAATGTTTTTAAATATTTCTAGGCTAGGCAAGATTTTTCAGATTGTCGCAAATTTACAAAAAAATTTCCAATATATTATTGAAAAAAAACTCATGTATAAGTGGACCAGCACAATTCAAACTGTATTATTGAAGGTCAACTGTATATTTATAATTTGAACACATTCATATCTTAATTTTAGGTAATATACATAGTTCACTCTTCTTGAAAATGGATTTGCTTTTACATGCATATTCTTTATTTAAAAACTTAGTAATGTACAAAAAATTTACATTGCCTTCTGTATATTGATTCTGACAAAACTGTGAACTCCACTCAGCCTCTTCAAACATGAACAAGAGATGTAATACATCCGATTTTATTTTCCAAATAACATTTTATTTGTTTTTGGAATTTGTTTAGTTTGTGGTGAATATATAGAAAATTTAAGTTCAGATTAAATTTTGACTGACAATACATTAGTAGAAATTCCTGTTAGGAACATTTTTTTCTATCTGTATTCATTGGTAGAAAAAAAATAAGATTACATTATGCATTAATAAAGCTTCATACTCTTGGAAATCAAAACTGAATATTTCATATTGTTTCAGGCTGGGCGCGGTGGGCTACACCTGTAATCCCAGCACTTTGGGAGGCCAAGGCGAGCGGATCACTAGAGGTCAGGAATCAAGACCAGCCTGAGTCAGGAGAATCGCTTGAACCTGGGAGGTGGAAGTTGCAGTGAGCCGAGATTTATATATACACGCACACACACACACACACACACACACATATAAACATATATAGTTTCAAAATTTCAGTAAATATGCAAATATTAAAAAACTATTGTATTTAGGACAGTTTAGGATTCTGAAAATAATTCTCATGCATGATTAAAGCCATGCATTTTAAGAATGTAATTAAAAAGAGTGAATGCATTTGCTCTATGCATTATATTTTATCAAAAAAATGTTTGGAAGGTGCTCTGTTCCAGAAAATGTTTAGGGAACAGATTTGCCTCACTAATTTAGCAACATAATGCCACTAATTTATTTAATACTTTATTATGTTAGGCAATTTATAGATGAGAATATTTAAATGGCAAAGTATTTCAAAGAGTACTTTAAGCCCTACTGATATGCAAAGTTGTTATTAAGATAGCCTGTGGTGGGAAGGGCCATGAGGAAGGAAAGGAAACTTGAAGCTGAACCAGCCTCTTTTTCAATGCTGCCTGCCATTCCCTTTTCATCCAGAACAAATTGTGTTTATTAATTGGATTTCTGAATAACATTTCATTTGTTTAAAAAACAAGGTCTTGCTATTTAGAAAAGTTTAAAATCTACTATCTTATGAGATAGACATATAATGAGGTATAATTAACATAATTATATAGATGAATAACCTGAACTCAAAGAAGTTAGGTGATATGCACACAGTTACACAGTTATTAAATGGAAGAACAATTTTCGAAACCTAAATTATTGGCTTCAGTTCCAGCACCTGATATGATTGAAATCAGAGATAGAAATCTATTCCTCATTTTGCCTGACTTCTTTCATCTTGGACTTTTTCTTGAGTAAAAAATAAAATGTGTTTATGTGATAAAGTGTCTGCTCCAAATATATAAAAATAAAATTACTCTCAAACTCATTAGACAATTGGCCTATAGCATAATGCATCTCAGAATTAACATTCATTTTTGAAACCTAAATGGTTTAACTTATTGCTACACCAGCTCTTTATTTCATGGACTATAAAATTCACGAAATATTGAGCTTCATGGGCTATGAAATAAAAGCCTATAAAAGTGTCTTGGAAAGTGTAATTATCTGCTAGATCGGGCACTTTTACCAAACCCATAATAAAATACACTGAGATTTTTCTGTTGGAATCACTTGATAAACTAAAAACAGGGGATACTAATTGGAAAATAGATAAGGCCATCATGATATGCAAATAAAGCAAATGAATGACAATTAATAACAAGATTACATCCTTCTAAATTTATTCAGTACAATTAGGTTTGCTTAATCTGCCTTTATACCTGCTGCAAAATTTTAGAAAATGAGTAAACAGGTTTAATCACAGAAAATAAAACAAAATCACTACCACCAAACGTCTAAATCTCATGCTTGACAGTTTTAGGACTTATTTTACTTCCTCTTCAAAATGGACTGAGAAATTGCTTAAAGTATTTAAATGTATCTTTTATGGGGCTACAATACTTTCTCTCTCTCTTTCCTGTATTACAGATTTATAATTACAATAGCCTCAGAGGGGAAAAAAGTCATTCCATGAAATCCTGAATTATTTCTTACTATCCAAATATCTGATTGTATGTTTTATTAGTATTTATTTAAATAAGATCAATTTATACCAAAACTAGTGATAAAGTTCTTAGGTAGTGCCTTAATATCTTCATATTCTTAACACATTTGCTTGCTTATATGTCATTCCTGTATATTCTAACAATGCCCTTTGTCCTGATTGTCAACCGAGTATTTCCCTGAAGACACAGTAGCTGAATGTTCAGCTTCTTTTGTCTACTATAAACATATTTGTCAGCATTTGTTCTCACTCTTTATTTCAAAACTTGTCCTAAAATCTGGCTGAAGTTTAAAATATATTACAGTTGTGTACCACACAATGACATTTCTGTCAACAGACCACATACTTGATGGTGGTCCCATTAAGATTATAATATGACACTTTTATTGTACCTTTTCTATATCTAGATGTGTTTAGATACACAAATATTTACTATTGTGTTAAAATTGCCTACAGTATTCAATACAGTAACATGCGGTATGGGTTTGTAGCCTAGGAACCGTAAGCTATACCGTATAGCCTAAGTGTGTAGCAACCTATACCATCCATGTTTGTGTAAATATACACGATGAGGTTTGCACAACAACCAAATCATCTAATGATGCATTTCTCAGAATGTATCCCTGTCATTCAACAATGCATGACTGTACTTTAAACATTTGACTTAGTATCTATTATTAATTGCCCATTTTGGCCAATAGACTGATTAACATTCATCAGATCACTTGATATTTGCTTCTGTGTGAACACACATAGTACATACATTCATAAAAGTTTAATTTCACTCCACATTGTTTTCTTGCCAATTGTCTCTTATTTCCTTTTTTTGAGCATAAGTACTTCAATAGGACAACAGCTAGTTTTCCAATGATATCAGCTTTCCTTCTTCTATAGTAGGACTGCTGATAACTGTGCTAGTAACGTAGCTACAATTAAAACTATAATTCCTGGTCACTCTTAGAGTTTTGCTTGACTCCTCAATAACTCTTCCCATGTACACCATGGTAAGTTCTGAGAATACTCCTAAAAGAACAGCTCTTATGTCTGCATTCCCTTTTTTACTTCTTTTTTTATGTAAGTCAAGTGGTCAAGCAATTGCCAAGCAGAAGCATAGCCCCTAGGCTAATTTACCACAATTTTTATGGAAGTTGGCAAGAAAACAATGAGTACAAATGCATTTAGACAAATGGGTTATATTCAGTGCACAGAAAGCAGCATTAACTTCAGGTTAATGTCGGTGCTACTTGCCCCACTCCCAACTCTACGAGGGCAATGCAGAGCAGATCTGGGAAGATGCTATGCACATGAGTCTGTTTCACTGCTAAGGAGAACTCTACTAGTGGGAACTCTTAATCTTATAATTTTCCCCAGAGAAAGACATTACTTTATTATCCTGACTGTAAGCCAAACTCTTTTCCAAATAGGAAAACTACATTCCTATCCTGGAATGTCTCTGAGGAGGTATAATGTCTTTGGCTAGGAGACATGTCTCTGAATTTCTCTGGATGTAACGACTGTTTTGCCTTTCCAAGGATGCTTGCTTGTAAAACCATTCCTAAATTGGCTTCTGTGATTAGAGCATGTGCAGAAATGCCAGACCACAAAGAATTATCACCAAAGACAACTTCTTCTCAAATATGAATAAGATGGCATGTTATAGATGAAGTTCACATTTGAAGCATCTGAACATGGTAAAATAATATGATCAAATGAGGTTGCGTCTCTGAGATTCTCATGAAACTGGGCTACAGTCCTGGCTACTTACCCTCAAACTTTTATCATAAAACACAATTTCTGCTATGTTGAAGCCATTTTTATTTTGTGGTTGTTTTTACTTAAAGTGGAAATTAATCTTTATTGATGCAATTGCTTTTTGTTTCTTGTCTTAAAAATATGTCAAAATAACATAACCTGATATAATTGAATTGGCAAAATGTAAAAATGTACAAAAAAGAAAAAAGTTATCATACATCTAGGTCTAACATTACTAAAAATCAATCTAATCAGAGCTTTAAACTATGTTATAATGATATATTTATTTATAAATATTTGAACACATTTCTTATTATTTTCCGAATAAAATTATTGAGATTATAGTGTTTAAAAATTTTAAGACTCTTGAATCAAAATGCCAAATCTGATTTCTTAAAATGAATTTCACATATATTTACTAAGAGTGAATGACAGTAGCTTCTTCAGTATATTTCCTGTTTCAATTTGTTTTATTGGATTGCTAGTGAACATCTTTAGGAGCTTAGTATATATTTGTATTTGTGATAACCATGAATATCTTTTGTTTTTTGTCAATGAGTGTCTGGAAATTATTGGCTGAGTCCATATGCTTTCTCCCTTTGCTTTTAGTTGGAATGATGTCATGCACCTGTGGCCAATGAAATAAAGGCGGAATTGATTTAAGTTACTTTCAGGCTTGGACTCTAATTATTTTTCCATAACATTCCCCCTGGCAAATAGATTACACTTTTGGATACTACATTTTAAAACTTATACATTACTCAATCTTACTTATTCTCATACTTCATCAGATGATGGGCATAAATCATCTTTAGATTTATTTTTCAGAAAAATACATGTCTGCAACTTTTACATGACAAAAATTGTTTTCCCTACACTAAGATCATTTTGAATTACATCAGAATATCTCACCTACACTTATGAGGAATGTATTTATTTGGTCTACTTAGAGATGCCTACAGCCCATGAAGCCACAGAAAACAAACAAACAAACAAAAAAACACCTCATCGCAAATGCTGTCAACACTGGAAATGACTTAGGTGATAATTCAATACCCTGAACAGATTCTTATTCTTCTGGCTTTCAAAAACATCCAACCCTTGAGTTCTCAATGTATTACATTTAAACCCACTGTTCAAATAACCTGTTGTGTCATTTTTCTTGATTCCCTTTTTCTCCATTAATATTTTCTACTTTGCTATTATATTATTCTTTAACTTTCTGTTAATATATTTTTCTTTTCATGGGACAGAAATATCCATCGGGATAAGTATGCGGAGCTAGTCCCATGATGTTCTCCTCTATTGCCTCCTCCATTAATAGTCACACTTATAGTAAGAGACCATCTTAATCAAAAGATACTACATGCCGGGCATCATGCCAAGTATATTCATGAATTATACACTTCATCCTCACAACAGCCCTAAGATAGCCCAAAGACACCTTTGAATAAATAACAAGTTAATGTTCATTTTAAACATTAGATAGTTTACCTAATCTGCTAATAATTATAGATTTAAAATTATGTTTAATAATTTCTTTGATTATTAACAAATTTCAAAGTTCATGTTTTAGTTTCTTTTCCTCTGTTGCTTTAAACTATTTGTATATATCCACTTATTTATTTCCCCAACAAATCTAATTTGACTTTGAAGTTATATTCTGTTTTTTCACACTGAAGATGCTGACAGTCTGGGTGGAAGCTAAGAATGAGGTTGTCATTTCAGAATCAGCCAAATGAATGATAGGGTGATTCCTTCAAATCTTCAGAATATAGTACAAGGCACTGCTATTTTGCTTTAAAAAGAACACAAATACAGAAAGTCTTATTAATCTATCTATCACTGAAAATGAGTCTAGATAGGATAGGCTGATCATATAAATTTGAATAATGGTAATGACCTGCCATCACTTCCAGAGGGCACTCATTAGTTACAACAAACAAGATTTTCACTTGGATATTGACTTCTATGATATTAAGGTAATCTACTAAAATTGAAATACAGATATTATCTTTTCCAAATAAAACAGTTTCTATAACAGGTTGCATGAGAAATATGAGGTTGGGATTTAAGAAATTGTGTTTGTAAAGCATTTCAAAGTTAGTTGAAAAATACAACTTTATAAATGACAACTAGTATTATTTCATCTTATAATTTCTTTAAAAATTTTGCCATTACAAAGCAGTGCTAATGTGCAAAAAATTCCTTTAAAAATTATATAACTAATACTTGTGAATTTATCCTATTTCAGTTTCTGATTGAAACATTTTCTAAAGTCAACACCAGTGTAACACTTATATGACTTAACAACAATTAAAAATTAACTACATTTTGGTAAGTATTGAACTTTGAAGCAAAAAAACTAGCATATCCATTATGTCACAAGCTTAATTTTTCCTATGATTACAAACCTACTTGTAGAAAATGAGGTATGTAGTGACTTTATTAACTCTTGAAGTAATACCCTCATTTTGAATAATGCATTCTGTTAGTAACTGGGGGACTGAGTCTATTAGATACTATTGTGGATTAAATATTAACACACCTCTGCCAAACACTGGAGTATATGTTTAGAAGCTCTGCATGCAGAGACTCTCAATTTCACAGACTGCCTTGCCCAATAATTGCAGTTGTTAAATTATGCCAATGTAGTCTTGGGCATTTTGCTTGTTACTTGGACAGTATACAAGTTTCATTTTAAAGCATAGCTAATAACCATCTGTCTTTTGGAAAGATGTAAAATAAAACTAATGTGTTTCTAAAGTGGCGTGTAAATTGACTCAAGCTATTTTAATTTACTTTTTATTCGTCTTATATTTTGCAATAAATCTTAGTCATTCCTAAAAATCTACCTATGAATTAACAGTACATAGACACAGGTTTAGGATTTTGTAATATTTCATCAATACTAAAGTCAATTTCCATGTGTTCAAGAGTAATGAAAGGAGTGGGCTTACCATGGTCTTTGTGTTTTATGTCTGATATTTGCGTAATGCTTATCTAAGGGGATCTCTCATTGTTTTAATTTAGACTGTCTCATAGTACATCATCTGACATTGTTTACATATACAAGCCATGCATATTTAATGTATCATGTCAACTTCATCATAATAAATAGGAGAAAGAATTATTGTATTTGTTCCAGTTGTTTTTCTGAGTCTAACCTTATCATTTGTGTGTTCTTCTAAATCCTGTTAAATGAAGTTAAAACCATTCTTCCATTTAAAAACAAGTCAGTATTATAGAGTTCTTTATAAATAACACATGAATAATTTGGAAAGAAGTTTTATGTTCTTAAACTTTAACAGCAATACATTAAACATACAATAATGTAAGGAGTAAATAACTGAAAACAGAATAATTGTGTTAAATGGAGCTCCAGAAGCCTAGATTAAGCAGTTAAGACAAGACTTCACTTTTAAACATCTCAGTTCAATAGATTGACTTCCAGTATTTTAGTGCAGAGTGCTCTGCTGAGCTGTGCCCAGTAAAACTGATGACAATTACATAATATTAAAGCCTCTATAAAGAGTCCTAAAAAGGAATGACAAATGAGAAAACATTTATTTAAGATATCTATAAAAAATAGTAAAAAAAAGGTGAAAGCCTGTGGTAGTTGGACCAAGACTATTCTATCTTTCTGCTCCAAGCTCAGGTAAACAAAGACTCTACTCTGTACTGCTGAATACAAGAACACTGGACTTCCTTCTAAGCCTTCACCCAAACAGAGGGCTTTCTTTTGTGGAGTTGCAGGATGTAAGCTTTCTGGTATTGAGGCAAAGCCCTAGAGAGTACGGTTAAGAGATATGGGCTCCCTCTCACTCCCAGTCCTCACTTATGAAATTGATCCTTTACTTTGCACACTGTGTGCTGAGAATACAGGAGCCTTAATCACTCTTGCTCCAGCTCCTGAGATAGTAGTTCCATGCCAAGAGAAGTATGTTGAGAGGACTACAGGCTACTGTC
The DNA here is from genome assembly GCF_000001405.40 of Homo sapiens. Taxonomy (NCBI): domain Eukaryota; kingdom Metazoa; phylum Chordata; class Mammalia; order Primates; family Hominidae; genus Homo; species Homo sapiens. Next base: position 192,944,213 of record NC_000002.12, on the reverse strand, counting down.
CACCCTACAAGTACCCACATTTTAAAGTGGGGTGCCCCTCAGAGGGAAGC